>NC_000013.11:85438775-85591616 GCF_000001405.40 Homo sapiens | reverse complement strand
TCATGTCTGTAATTCCAGCACTTAAAGGAGGCTGAGGCAGGCGGATCACTTGGGGTCAGGAGTTTGAGACCACCCTCAACATGGTGAAACCCTGTCTCTACTAAAAATATAAACATTAGCTGGGCATGGTGGTACACATCTGTAATTCTAGCTAGTGGGGAGGCTGAGGCAGGCAAATCGCTTGAACCCAGGAGGTGGAGGTTGCAGTGAGCTGAGATTGCACCACCGCACTTGAGCCTGGGTGGGAGGGCAAGAGTCAATCTCAAACAAAACAAACAAACAAACAAAAAATAAATAAATAAGAAAGAAAAGAAAACATTTTTGCTGTAATACTTTTAAAAATATCGCGATAGAATATAGTTTTGTTTTGTTTTGTTTTTTTGAGATGGAGTCTGGCTCTGTCGCCCAGGCTGGAGTGCAGTGGCACAATCCCAGCTCACTGCAACCTCCCCTTCCTGGTTCAAGCGATTCTCCTACTCAGCCTCCCAAGTAGCTGGGACTACAGGCGCCCGCCACCATGCCTGACTCATTTTTGTATTTTTAGTAGAAATGAGGTTTCACCATGTTGGCCAGGCTGGTCTCAAACTTCTGACCTCAGGTGAGCCACCCCCCTCGGCCTCCCAAAGTGCTGGGATTACAGGCATGATCCACCGCGCCCGGCCATGAACATAGTTTTAAATTACATTTACCTGTGGGGAAAAAATAGTAAAGAATATAAAACTTGTTCCCAAAAGGCAGCAGGAAAATTCCATGTGGCTGGGATGTTTGGACACTTGTCATCATCTGGGTGTTATTATTTTACTTGTGGCCTGTAGTTGATGAGTCAGATGGGCACCAAGTCCTTTCTGATTGTCTTGAGAGATGGGAGGCAAAAAAAGTTTTTGTTTTGCTTTGGGTTTTGTTTTGTTTTGTCTTTTATCCTCTAAAACAGTATTTCTCAATGTGTGTACCCTTGAATTTTTTGAAAGGATAATTGTTCACTGTAATATGCATTGCATGATGTTTCATACGTCTGGTATTTACCTATTAAAATTCTGATAGCTGGTTCCCATGTTTTTAAGAAAAAATTTTAAAGCACCTCTAAATATTTCCAAATGCCCCTAGGAAGGTTGAGAACTACTATGAGGTTTGCACTCATCTGTTCCCAGTGAATGAAAACTTGAAGGGCGAAGTGGGCCATGTGACCCTTGGAGAACCCAGCCTTTCAGCTAAGATGCTTTGGCCATTTTCCAGATGAACATTTTTTTGTTCCTCTAGGAAAAAGTTAGGCTTGAAAAAAAATTACTGGAAGGGAATTGTAGAAAAAGACTTAGGCCATTCAATTCCCAAGGGAGAGGAAGAAATGTCATGGAGAGCAGTTCATTTCCACATTTTCTAACTTGTGCAACCTGTAATACTTAACCAAAAGACGAGCGGGAAGTGGCCTTCCAGCATTAAAAACTACAACAAACACTTACATTTGAGCACCATGATCACTGTCCATTGTTTCAAAACTAAAAAAGAGGACAGGTCGGCCGGGTGCAGTGGCTCACGCCTGTAATCCTAGCATTTTGGGAGGGTGAGGCGGGCAGATTGCCTGAGCTAGGAGTTTGGAACCAGCCTGGGCAACACGGTGAAACCCTGTCTCTACTAAAAATAGAAAGAAACTTGCTGGGTGTGGCGGCATGCGCCTGTAGTCCCAGCTACTCAGGAGGTTGAGGCAGGAGAATTGTTTGAACCAGGGAGGTGGAGGTTGTGGTGTGCCAAGATCACACCACTGTACTCCACACACCAGCCTGGGGGCAGAGCAAGGCTCTGTCTCAAACAAAAACAAAACAAAACAAAACAAAAAAAGAGAGAGCAGGTCACCTTGCATTCCTTGAGCAGATGTCAACAAGTTTTTCTGCAAAAGGCCAGATGCAAATATTTTAGGATTTGTGTGACAAACCTTTTTTGTCACAACTCCTCAACTCTACCATTCTAGTTCAATGAAGCCAAAGATGGTATATAAGTGAATGGAATGGTGTGTTCCAATAAAACCTTATTTACAGGCTGGGTGCGGTGGCTCACGTCTGTAAACCCAGTGTTAGGGTAACCCCAACCAGACTGTTTCCCCTCCCTTCCCATAGGTCTTACAGTGCAGTCCTTTGTGACCTCTGCATGGCTCCCCCAGGGCTAAAGACAAACTCCCCTTCACTGACCCCTCCAGTAACTGTTTGTCTAGGCAGTTACAGGATGCAGTTAACATGTCTGCTCACCTCACATAACAAAGCTGGCAAAAACATCTCCAGGGTGCAGTCAAGACACCTGCACCCCTGACTCAGCCCCCCACTCAGCCCTCCTGCACACCCATTTCAGCTTCCCCATCCCGACTCAGCCCTCCTGCACACCCAACTCAGCTCCCCAACCCTGACCCATTTCCTCGCCCTATGAAGCCCTGTTGTAGTCTGTAAGCGGGGCTGCCTCCTCTGCTTTTGTCAGGAGGTAGCCCGGCAGGACTGACAATAAATCAGTTTGCCTGAACTTAGGTTTACTGGCCTCATTCCTTTCTCGGCTGTCCTTCCAATTATCCCTTACACCCAGCACTTTGAGAGGCCAAGGCAGACAGATCACCTGAGGTCAGGAGTTCCAGACCAGCCTGGCCAACATGGTGAAACCTCATCTCTACTAAAAATACAAAACTTAGCCAGGCATGGTGGCAGGTCCCTGTAATTCCAGCTACTCGGGAGGCTGAGGCAGGAGAATCGCTTGAACCCGGGAGGCAGAGGCTGCAGTGAGTCGAGATGGTGCCACTGCACTCCAGCCTCGGTGACAGAGCAAGACTCCATTTCAAAACATAAAACAAACAAACAAAAAAAACCCCTTATTTACGGATATATATTTGTATGTCACAAAATATTATTTACTAAGTTAATATTTTATAGGTTTCAAAAATGTAAAAACTATTCCTAATTTTCTAGACCCACCGTACAAAAACAGGCAACAGACCAGATACAACCCACGAGCTATAGTTTAACACCTGACCTTGAATGGCCACCCATGGACTAGGCTTAGCCAAGTTCATCAGCTCAGGTGCCACTATTGTGCAAGATACTTTGCTGTATTTGAAAGATAAAGGAGAAAGAAAGGGATTCGGGATCCCTAGTAACATAGTGACTAAAGAATAGTTGATGTCAATAAAGAGCTATGTATACAATGTGGTGTGGGTATTTTAATCTTTCACTTTTGCACACAAGAAAATTTTACCCATTTGAACATCTTAACAAATTTCTGTCTCTTATCAAACAAATGAGAGAAATGGTGTGGACAAAGCTATTTGTCTCTTGAAGTTAGAGATCTTTCACTGACGTACGTAGAAAAATATTTACTTGTTACAGTACTTAGAAGCAAAGAGAAGTATCTCACAGGTTTTTAGCCAAAAATTTAGCTGAAATATTGTGGTGTGTAGGCTTAATTTCAAGTTAAATGCTGTATTGTGTTTTGTTGACTGAGACATATATTCACCAAAATAGCTTATCTTCCAAGTCTCTGCTTTTCTTAAATTTTTTAACTATGTATTATTTTTCTTCTTAGGAGAAATGACATTCTCTTTTAAAAGTCCACTTCAAACCTATTGCAATTATGATACTCATACCTACTCTCAAAAAGTTAATAAAACAGGTGAGAGAATAATGAACTAAATACTTCAAATGTTTATTAAAATGGTCAGTATGGTTACACGAGAACCCTCTATACTAATTCTGTTCCTTTTCTATAAGTTTGAAAACTTTTTTTTGAGATGGAGTCTCACTCTGTCGCCCAGGCTATAGTACAATGGCATGATCTCTGCTCACTGCAACCTCCAACTCCCAGGTTCAAGCGATTCTCCTGCCTCAGCCTCCTGAGTAGCTGTGACTACAGGCACATGCCACCCCACCCGCCTGGCTAATTTTTGTATTTGTAGTAGAGACAGGGTTTCACTATGTTGGCCAGGCTGGTCTCGACCTCCCAAAGTGCTGGGATTATGGGTATGATCCTCCATACCCAGCCATTTGAAAAGATTTTAATATAAAAATTAAAAAGAAAAACATATGGTCTCTTTGTCTTCTTTCTCTCTTATTCCTTTTAATATAGTCGTTTATTAAATCTTGTTCATTTTTGGCCTAAATGTCCATCACCATATCACAAATTACTTCAATATTAGGAATTCTCATTTTTCTTTTTATCTCATGTACTCTCTTCTCTCAATATCTAGACTAATTTCCTCTAAATACTGCATGTGTGTTGAAATGCTTCTTTGATTGCCTGGCTCTTCACCCAGACTGACCCTCACCACCAAACACTTTTACCTGCTGCTTATATAAATGCATCAATGTCTTGTCCTATTTCCTCTCTCATCTCTCTCTTACTACAGTATATTTTTCTTAACATCCTTTTGGCCTAAATCTTTCTTACCTATATGTCAAAGCTCTATTTCTTAAACAAAGTATTTCCTTAGTTCAAAGGTAATTTTGTAAAGGGTAATGTTATGATTCATTCAAACATAAAATGACTACAGGCCAAATATTTTATTTACTCATTAAACAATAAGGCAGCCATGAGGCTGTAACAAGTAATTTACAGAAGAATCCAGAGAGGAGATGCACATATGCAATAAGAAATGTTAAACTAGTTGCTAATAGAAGTAAAAATTCAATATTTATAAGACAATAATGAAACTGCCTTTGCAAAAATTGTAACTGAGACAATTATTACAGTGAAAGAGATCTGACCTCACTGATTCCATCTTGCTTCTAACCTCCAAGCCATCTTTCTTCATTCCTGGACATAGGCCAAACTAACTCTGGGAGGAACTTAGTTCTTTTGGTTCAGCTTTATTTCAGACAAAAACACTCCTTTCTCTAAACAAACCCCCTTCCTTCCTGGGTACTAGACTGCCTTTGTAGGACTAACAAATTAGTCACAAGATGAGAAATTGTGGTTTAGGAGTCATGCACCTGGAGGCTGCAAGATTCCAAACCTCTCCAAATTGCTTCTGGGGATAACATCACTATTGTAAAACCAAAGATGAGTGCTTGAGATATTTTGCAGATCCTGCACTCCGTGGATCAGCTGGCACAACCTGGATGGAAAAACTGGCTCATCTCATCCTGTGGCCCCCACCCAGGAACTGACTCAGTCAGTGTAAGAGGTCAGCTTCCACTTCCTATGATTCCATCTCCAACCTGACCAATCAGCATTCTCTACTTCCCAAGCCCCTACTCACTAAATTATCTTTTTTTTTTTTTTTTTTTTTTTTTTGAGACGGAGTCTCGCTCTGTCGCCCAGGCTGGAGTGCAGTGGCGGGATCTCGGCTCACTGCAAGCTCCGCCTCCCGGGTTCACGCCATTCTCCTGCCTCAGCCTCCCAAGTAGCTGGGACTACAGGCGCCCGCCACTACGCCCGGCTAATTTTTTTGTATTTTTAGTAGAGACGGGGTTTCACCGTTTTAGCCGGGATGGTCTCGATCTCTTGACCTCGTGATCCGCCCGCCTCGGCCTCCCAAAGTGCTGGGATTACAGGCGTGAGCCACCGCGCCCGGCCACTAAATTATCTTTTAAAACTCTGATCCCCAAATTCTCCGGGAGGCTGATTTGAGTAATAATCAAACTCCAATCTCCGGCACAGCCAGCTCTATATGAATTACCCTTTCTCTATTGCAATTCCCCTGTCTTGATAAATTGGCTCTGTCTAGGCAGCCAGTAAGGTGAACCTGTTGGGCAGTTACAATAATCAATTGGAAATATGTTAGACAAAGTTCATTCCCCTCACTAGGAATAATTTGCATTATTGTGAGTTATTATTTATAGAGTTGTAAAATATCTTAAAGGCAATGAATGTGGCATACCCAGGGAATCAGATAACCCACGTGATTGCATAAAACAGAATGCTCAGTAATCTTTCTGTGTATGTGCCCATTTCAAGGTCTTTCACAATTTTTCCTGACACTGAGTCACTTCTGATTTTCTTCCTTCCTTTTAACATGTTGCCTGTAGCATGTACAGCAGTTTTGGTTCATCCCCTTCATACCTCCAGGGAGCTCATAGGCCAGCAGCTGTGGCATCCCCTGGGATATTGGTAGAACACACATTCTCAGGCTCTGCTCCAACCTCCTGAATCAAAACCTGCATTTTAACAAGATCATCAGGTAACTTATGTGAACATTAGAGTCTTGGAAACAGTGGCCTATACTACATTAATTAATGTTACTTATAAGCTGATGGCCTTGCATTATTCACTATTTTGTTACTATATCTTATGTTTCTTTATTTCCAAAATCTTTAGAATATAGCTTTAAGCAAATAACGGAATTGAATCAAATTAATTAATTAAATTTTTTTCCCAAAATGAGGCAGATGCTGCCATTGTTTTCCATCACTAAAGGGTCTTAAATGGCTTTAAAATGTACCTGTCGTCTGACACTTGTAGAGGCTGCAAGTCATAGCTGAGCTCATATTGTACTGGAAAAATGAATAATGGAATTTTTTTTATTCCTTGAAAGGTTTAAGAAATGTGCTATAATGCATTTTTATATATAAATAAAAGACATATCAAATAGTAAGGGAAGAAAGATCAAGTAGGTATTTTACTCATTAAAGTTCCCAAGTAGGAAAAACTGTGTCTTGTTTTACTTAATGTATACGATGTTCTCAACAGTGCTATGTTCCTGAACGCATTAAACAAAGAGTTTTGATCTCCCAGCCTCAGCAAGTCTGAACTGAGTCAATTCCACAGATGAGCAAAATATACTTTAACAAGATTTATGGTGCTGTCTCTGGCAGCACATGCACTAAAAAATCGGAATGATACAGAGATTAGCATGGCCCCTGCAGAATGATGCCATGCAAATTTATGAAATATTCCATATTTTTTTGAAGAACAAAACCTGCTTTCTGGCTGATTGCCTTGAAGGAAAAAAAAAGAACCTATTTTTTTGGATTATTTACCAATCACACCACACAAGCATTTATTTTAGTACCTTTTATTTTTTAAATAAAATTGCTAATTGCAAAGCTTTGTATTAAAATAAATAAATAATAAAATAAAAATAAATACTAAAAAGAGATTTATGAAGCGAAACTAAACTTCTCAAAACCATCTAATATGCTCTTGTTAGGCTTAGGCATATTATTACTCAGGCTAATTATATTAGCAAAAAAAGTTACAGGAATAAATATCCATTTATATTTTCACACAGGAACACATTACAATGAGTTGTTCTGGTTGAAAAGTAAGCATTTTTTACCATGAAAAAATATTACATTTATTTTTAGTGTATCAGAGGTTCAGCTGAACTTTCTCATGTAATTTGTTAATTAGTAATCAAAGCTATTTCAAATTATGTTTTTTCCCAAAACAATTAAACCATAATTTCTTTTTAATTATACATTTTTATATATATCCATAAATGGGTAGCTCATATATTTTTATTTAGGGAAATATTTTTATATAGGAAAAATTTCTTAAAAATTGAAATTTTGAAGTGCCAAGTTCTATTCTACTTATGTCTTATTTCTAAAGGGAAAGTAATCCAAAAATTGAATGCAATAAAGGTGTTTTCAGTTGTTCGGTATCCAACAGTCACCTCTCTGCCTGTACATAGACCATTTTCCCATAGCTCCTTTAATATGACAGGGAAGGTGGTGCATAATATTTCCATTTCCTGTAAGATCTTACAATAAAGAAAAAAGCATCATTTGCTGTGCAAATAATAATAAAGACTTAGGTTATGAGCCTTGAGTTCCATGATATGAATCCGACTTCCTGCTCCAGTCATTGAATTTCAATTGACATAAAATACATTGATCTATAAATATTTGCTGTGGTATTAAATTAAACAACATAAATTACAATGCCAGCAGGTGAGGTGGCTCACACCTGTAATTTCAGCACTTTGGGAGGCCAAAGCAGGAGGATCACTTGAAGCCAAGAGTTCAAGATCAGCCTTGGAAACATAGCAAGATCCCTGTCTCTACAAAGTATTAAGAAAACAAAAAAATTAGCTGGGTGTGGTGGCGTGTGCCTGTAGCCTTAGCTACTCAGGAGGCTGAAACAGGAGGTTCTCTTGAGCCCAGGAGGTCGAGGCTGCAGTGAGCTATGATCATGCCACTGCACTCCTGCCTGGACAACAGGATGAGACACTGTCTTAAAAAAAAAAAATTACAATGCCAACAATTAATGTTAGGGTAAATGTTATACGAGAAAGAAAAGTTCATCAAGTATCCCTTCAATTTTTATTCCTTTTTTTTCCAAAAACACAATGGAATTAATAAATGAACAAACAATCCAAACCTTTGCAGTCGCAATGATAGCTTTCCAATTTTCAAAACTCTTTAAACTCATTTTGGATCTGCATAGTTTTAGAACCTACCCTGAGGGAAGCTTTTCTTCAATTGTTTTCTTAGTTAATGTACAGGCTTCTGCTAGTTTTGGCTTGTGGTTGATCAAGGTGCTCCCTCTCTTGCCCATTCTTGTTTTGGTGTCTCATTTTATATTTGAGATTTTGACTCACAGAGCTTCCTGTTTTATAATCTTCTGACTCACCAGGAGAGGGAAAATGAGTATCAAATCTCACGTCTTGAAATTTTACCATATAAATTAGTTTACCTTTACCCATACTGAAGGGACTATCATATGAATGAGCAATATCACTGCTGGGTACATATCCAAAGGAAAGAAAATCAGTATATCAAAGAGATACTGGCACTCTTATGTTTATTGCACCACTTTTCACAGTAACCAAAATACGGATTCAACCTAAGTGCCCATCAATTAATAAATGGATAAAGAAAATGTGTTATATGTACACAATGTCATATTATTCATCCATAAAAAATTCTGTCATTTGCAACCCAATGAATGGAACTGGAGGATATTACATTAAGTAAAATAAGGTAAGTACAGAAAGATGAATATTACATGTTCTCCCTCATATAAAGGAACTAAAAAGAATGAATTCATGGAAATAGAGAATAGAAAGATGGTTACCAGAGGCTAGACAGGGTGATGGGATGGGAGGATAAAAAGGAGATGGTTAATTAGTACAAAAACAGTTAGACAAAAGGAATAAAATCTAGTGTTCAGTAGAACAATAGGGTAACTATGGTTAACAATAATTTACTGTATATCTCAAAATAACTAAAAGAGCAGAATTGGACTGTTCCTAACACAAATAAATGATAAATTCTTGAGGTGATGGATATTACAATTATCCTGATTTGATTATTACACAATTTATGCTTCATCAAAATATCACATGTATCTCATAAATATGTACGACTCATATGTATCCAGAATTAAAAATAACTTTAAAAATACAATTAGATAAGAAGGAATGTATTCTAGTGCTCAATAGCACAGTAGTGTGACTGTAGTGAACCATAATTTATTGTATATTTCAAAATCGCTAGAAGAGAAGACTGGGCATGTTCCCAACACAAGGAAATAACAAGTGTTTGAGGTGGTGGATATCCCAATTACCTTGATTTGATCATTACATACATTTTATGCATGTATCATAATATCACATGTAACCCATAGATATGTACAATTATTATGTATCAATTTAAAAAGTATAATAATACCTAACGTATTTTTATAATACCTTTATAATACCTAACGTAACCCTGAAAATAATATTGATTTCTCTCTCTCTCTTTTTTTTTTTTAAAAAAAGTAAATAACTAGCTGGTATATGGAATTAAGTAACTTGCCATAGACTACATAGGTTTTAAGCGTTGCCAAAGAAAATTTGCAACGGATAGAGTTAAACAGGCAAAGAAGACTTTTTCTTTAAGACTACTGCAACGTGAAAGAGACCAGAACTCAACTCCACTGAAACAAAAGGTGGGAGGAATTTTAAATGCTGGGTTAGGTAGAGGAAAAGTACTGAAGGGCAATAGACGGGATGTTGGTGAATGTGATAAGGTCATCCTTGTTTGCTAATTATCCTGTTTGGATAGGAGGCTGCTATCCTCCAACCGAGACTTGGAGAAAATGCTGCTGTCTCTTTCTATGATTAAATTTCAGAGGTATGACTCTCAGGTACTTGAGAAAGACATTCTTAGGTTGCAAGAATAGCAGAGGGCTGGGAAAGATGTATATCTCAAAAGGGCTTCAGAAACAATTTACATAGGCAAGTTTTTAAAAATAAAAATTATTTAAAAAGCGAGGTCATGATCCTATCTATAGTCAGAAAAAACTTGTCTAAAGTTTAGCTAAGCTGGGAAGAATGTTTTATTTTGGTCAATGCCTTTTATAATTTTCAATGTAATACAATATCCTTCTCTATCAGGATTAAGTTCATAATATTTCTACTATATAAAACTATACCCTCTTCCTTGCCTGAATGAAAGGAGAAGGTTACAGTGTTAAGGTCATAAACATGAAATATCATATGATAATTTTAACTTTTAGATTTTAATTGAGAATTAATGGTTCTTAATAATAAGAGGGGAGGAACCCAAGTCCCTATGAAGGACATAAACACATGAAAAGTGAACAGTTAGAAGCAAAATGATCCTGGTGTATGGTTCTCTCTAACAACATCATTAGCCTCAAGATGAAGTAGACATGGGAAACAACAGCACAGAAAAATAACCAGTTTGAAATAGTTGTTTAAATAGAAAGTCTTATCAAAACTAGCAGACAAGCAAAAGGTCTCTTTTTTTTTTGAGACGGAGTCTCGCTCTGTCACCCAGGCTGGAGTGCAGTGGCGCAATCTCGGCTCACTGCAAGCTCTGCCTCCCGGGTTCACGCCATTCTCCTGCCTCAGCCTCCCGAGTAGCTGGGAATACAGGCGCCCGCCATCACGCCCGGCTAATTTTTTTTTTTTTTTGTATTTTTAGTAGAGATGGGGTTTCACTGTGTTAGTCAGGATGGTCTCGATGTCCTGACCTCGTGATCCGCCCGCCTCGGCCTCCCAAAGTGCTGGGATTACAGGCGTGAGCCACCACGCCCGGCCCAAGAGGTCTCTTTATTATATCACCAAGGAAAGAGTTGTTTATCTAAAGAACTTCATTTCCTGAGAACTATTATGATTTAAGCAAGGAAATAAAAGAAGACTTCTAAAGTGAGTATCACCCCTTAACTCGGCTATCAAAACTTAAAATTATACCCGTGTATTGTTTTTATGGCCATCAGAACTAAATATATTTCTTTTCTCTGAAGAAAATCATATTTTAATAGAAAAAAGGAGTTTGCAATAAATATTTCAATTTGCTCTCAAGGAAATTAAGTTCCCACCGGAATGTGCCCACACATTTTGGCCTTTATCCTCTGCAATCTGTTCTATCTTTCTTCTTGGCTCCCTAGAGTCCATCTATTAACTTTGAGAGCTATAGATAAACTATGGTGAGAGGTTTACCCTGTTCAGTTAAACACTAATACTGTTTATGTGCTTGAGCCCTACTGAAATTGGAGTCAATCACTGCAAACTGATGAAGGGAGCTAATTCAGATGATACAAATACATCCCAAATTAAAAAGTGGAAACGCAAGCTCCTGAGTCCCCCTCCAGCCTGCTAGTCTACATGATTAGCATCAAGGTCTGTAGCAGAAGAACCTGGCCAATCTGAATACACGTGTTCCTAGTCCTTTCCTGGATACACAATGTTGTATCTCTAATTGGTTTTCAAGTACAATTAGCCATATTACCCACGTTTCAAAATAAAACTTTGAAGGGCCTTTTTTTTTTTTTTTTTGAGACGGAGTCTTGTTCTGTCGCCTAGGCTGGAGTGCAGTGGCGCCATCTCTGCTCACTGCAACCTCCGACTCTGAGGTTCAGACGATTCTCCTGCCTCAGCCTCCTGAGCAGCTGGGACTACAGGCACGTGCCACCACGCCCGACTAATTTTTTATATTTTTAGTAGAGATGGGGTTTCGCCATGTTAGCCAGAATGATCTGGATCTCCTTACCTCATGATCCCGCCCGCCTCGGCCTCCCAAAGTGCTGGGATTACAGGCATGAGCCACCGTGCCTGGCTGAAGGGCTTTCTATGGTTCAGAAGTACCTTGTTTCTGCTAATTTCACAGATGTAAAGAGTTTGGATTACCAAGTGTATAAAACAGCAGAATTGTAACAAAGCTTTGTGCTCTGAACATGCTTGAATTTTGGCATCAGTTGAAAAACTCTAGGTTTGAAAAAAATGATTCAACAGAACTTTGCTATTATGCAAGACAGGAAAACACTCAATAATTTGTATATAATTAAAGCTTATGTTTTGAGTTATTATTATACAGAATGGAGTGAACTTAACACAAAGTTGGTTCAGGGAATAGGAAAATTAAAATTAGTTCAAAGGAGTTGAATATGTTGACTTCAGACACATTCACGGTACCAATCAAGAATAAATCAAGAGTGTAGAGTTTATCTGTTCAACTATCATACATTATTTATTACAAAATACTTATTCACTGATCAGTAAGTATTTTGTTAGATGCAATAACACTAGTGTCCAAAGTGTATAGTCAAGTAGGGAAACTAAAATTATATAAAATAATCCAATAAAGTAGGAGGATTAAATGCCATAAGATATTTTTTAAAAACATTGAGAAAAAAATGGGTTTTGGTACCTAGATATGAGTGAAAATTTATAAATGCAAACAAATTATATTGAAATTGCTGCCACATCCACTGAAACACAATACCTAAAGAACACAATTTACTTTTCATCACCATATTCTTTAGGTCTTCAAGTAATCATGTAAAATAGATTATAATATCATTTCATATAAGAAGAAAACCGGCTGAACAATGATAGGAAACAGGTCTAACCCTATTCCACTTATAGGAGGCTGAGCCAATATTCAAACTCAGATGACCCAGGCTCTAAATTTCAGGTTATTTCTTTTTTTAATATTTTTGTCCGTTGCACTAATCTGGAAAATAACATAGGTGTCCCAGAGCTGGAGAGATGGCTTTACATCAGGCAATAATATAAAGGAAGGAGCCATGGTAAAAAAGATCCTTTGAACTGCATCTTGAAGAGCCTTTAGTACTATGAAGAGATAGGACAAGCATGTATTCTAGAAGGAAGAAAGCCTGAGCAAAAATAAGCGGGTAACACAGCATGAGAAAAACGTCAACTGCTAGCTTCTCCTAATGTTAAAAAAACATTCTGTTGGTAAGACCTAGAAGGTTTACTTCTTACAGCAGCAAAGGAGACCACCACTATTTTTCAGTGGTCTCAGCAGGAGAGGTTGAAATTAGGATATATTGTTTGAAAACTATGGCTTCCTCCTACTTTTGTAAATAAAGTGTCAATGAAACACAATCACACTCAGTCATCTAACCATTGTCTATAGTGATTTTTACACCACAAAAGCAGAGTTGAGTGGGTGCAACAGAGATGTTGATGTCAAAAATATTCAAGTGTTTAGTACACAAAAAGTTTGCAATTCCTGCTTTAGAGGATTTCAGTTTCATATGAACAGTTTAGTTTTTCCCAGCATAGAGAACTAACATTTCTTGAGAATCTACTCTTTCTTAGTATATTAAGTATACTTAATTATATGGTAATAAGTATGCATTATGCTTAGTTATATATTATCATCTCTTATTATTATTATATATTCTACTATAAATTACTATTCTATATTACTCTTAAATATACATACTTAATTTATATTTACTAAGTATTCTTAGTATATTAAGTCAACGTTTAAATCATTTAAGAAGCATTTATTAAATGCAAGGCATTATTCTAATTTTGGAGAATGCAGTAGTGAAAAAAAAAAAGACACCCACACACACATACAACTTTTAAAAGCCCTGTCATAGTGGAGCTTCATTTAATTAGAAAGAAAAGAAAAAAATAATAAGTAAATAATTAGAAAAATACTCAAAAACAAATATAATATTTTAAACAAAAGTAAGCTCTGTGAGTGAAAAAAAAGCGGTGAAGGAGAATATGAAATGTGAATAGTGGTTAAAGTTTTAATATGGTCATGTTGCAGATGCAGTTGAGGTCCATCGACCTAGCAGTCATCTCCCAGCTGCAGTCACTCTCCAGGTACCACAAGTGTTATCTGTAACTGTTGGCATTTACATCTTGTCCATCCAACTGCCCTTGGCCAACAGGAGCAGCCAAACATAAAAGCCCTGGGAGTTTATGGATGAGCTTCTCTCCCTAATTACTGACAAATGGAGAAAAAACAGTCTTTGCTAGTACAACTTTTGTGGTACCATTGACACTCCAGAGCTTTCTATGGGGGCTGATTGTGGCTGGACTTCTTACAAAACCATATTTGCCTAAGTTTCACACCTGCACTGTATCCCATTTCTCTTGCTTCCTTACAGCTTTCTCCTGAATGTAGCCTCCCAATAAATTACTCACACCAGAAGTATTATCTCAGACTCTGGTTCTAATAATTTAATGTATGATAGGTTAGAAGGAAAGGTGTAACTGAAAAGATAAACAGTTAAAAGATTTTGCAATGATACAGAAGAAGTGGAAAAGTATGCTTTGGAATAGGTGGTGGCAGTAGAGGAAGGGAGGTAAGAATGGAAAGAATTCTAGATTGATGGACTGATTGATTGATTTTTTTTTTCAGACGGAGTCTCTGTTGCCAGGCTGGAGTGCAGTGGCACGATATCAGCTCACTGCAACCACCGCCTTCTGGGTTTAAGCAAGTCTCCTGCCTCAGCCTCCTGAGTAGCTGGGACTACAGGTGGGCGCCAACATGCCCAGCTAATTTTTTGGTATTTTTAGTAGGGACGGGGTTTAACCATGTTGGCCAGGATGGTCTCGATCCCTTGACTTTGTGATCTGCCTGCCTCGGCCTCCCAACTAGATTTATGTTAAAATTAAAGGCAATAGGATTTGCTAATGAGGGGACGTGAGCACAAAAAGAGGAATAAAGATATTAATTTCTAATATTTTAGCTTCAATAACTGAAAGAATTGAGTTGCTATAAACTGGTATAAGAAACAATGAAAGAGAAACTGCCTTTGGGGAGACAGCATTTGAGTTATTATGGCTGTGCAACAAATCACCTTATAATAAGTGATTTAAAACAATTTTTTAAATGCTCATGAAATAGCAATTCAAGCAGGATACAATAGGAATGTCTCTCCTTTGTTTCACTTGGTGTCAGCTGAAGGGCTTAAGGGGAGTGGCTTGGAATCATTGGAAGGCTCAATTTTATGTTAGTTATTAACTATTGAATAAGGCTTTACATGGAGCTGTCAGCCAGTGTACCTACACTTGGCCTGTGCTTGCCTCTCAACCTGGTGGCTGGGTTCTGAAGTTTGGAGCATCAACAGAGATAGCTAGGCAGAAGACATGTCACTTTTATAATCTAGCCTTAGGAGCCAAACATTGTCACTTCTATTTTATCTACCTTGACAGTCGCAAAGCTTTACTCAGATTGAAGGGGAGAGAACATAATGCCCTGCCTCTTAATAAATGATGGTATTATTAATGGTTACTTTGTATATGTAGATAATACCATGAAACAATCCCTGGGAAATAAAGTCTGCCACATTCAGGAAACCAGGTTTGGACATAATAAATTTAAGATTTCTATTATACATCCAAGTAGAGATGTCAACAAGATGCGGCACATGTGGTCCTGAGTGAAGAAAAAATGTAGCCACATCAAATAATTCAGAAGGCAGTACAATTATGTTTCCTTGGTTGAACATGCTGAAAATCCATTTTCACAAGTGTTCTTTGCCATTTGACTATTTCAATAGACTATTCTAAGTTTGCAAGCCAAAGAAGGACAGTGAAACCAGTGAAAGGTGCAGAAAATTACATGCACAAGTAATTCAGCATGAAGGAAATCACATATTGGATATTTCAAGGGTGGACAGCTGCGTCAGGCTAGAGATGACCAACTTCTTTGGGCAAAAGAGGTGATACTTCCCCAAGCAAATACTGGAAGTGAAAAAAAAAAATCTAAATGCTTTAGTGTTCTTAGACTTCTGAATTCTGCGTGGAGTGACATTTCATTGTCAGGGGCTAGCTGTATCTCCTTCAATTATATAAACTTTCAGATAAGACCAAAGAATTTCATTGAATTTTAATTCAACAGCCTACAAAATCACCCTAGAATTAACTTTTGGAAATATTGGTCCCTCAGCTAACAGAGGGAGATTACTTCATCAAAGTTATAAAAATATCTGGATTTTCAATTTTGATTTTAAGGTGAGAATTCAGGCAATTAGCCTATATTTTGCCTGGTAATGTTTTGTATTATGTAATGTCTTCCCAATAAACCATTCTTCCTTACTGTCTGATTTTAAATGACAGCCACTGCCTGGCTCCCCAGAACCATGCCCTCTAGGAGCACTTTGTTCCAGATGGCCATAAGCAATACCTTAATTAGTTCTTTCCTCAATATGTAACAAGGTTTCTAGGTTCCAGTTCCAGCAATTGAGCAATGAATTGCCCTGCCTTCTGTTTCATCTTTCCTAGATATTAATTCCAAACATACTAAATTTCTTATTAAGTTTCTTTAGGATCTATTACTTGTAAACCACTTCTGAAACCAATTATTTCATAAGTTATGTTCTTTGATTGAAAGCCTGAGCCTCCCTTCAGCAAACTTAAAAAGCGAATTTATTGGAGCTCAGAGGATCCGTGGGGAAAAAGGGAAAATTTGTTCAGAAATAATAGAAACCACATAATTCCAGGATTTCTTTTTAGAGATGAATTCCCAAGAGTCTCATTTATTTCTTGTCAGGAAAGTGAATAAATATGTATTTTTAAATTGTTTTTTCCCTTTGATCGCTGCTCAGGGTTAAAATCCATTGAGGGAAAAGTACTTTGAGTATCTGATCCACCAGATGGTATGCAAAGAGAGGTAAGTAAAACAACATAAGAAAATCAAACTCTAACACCAAACACAACAGGCTATGAAACAAACAAAAACCAAAAACAAGCAAAAAAAGGAAAACAAAAATGCAACCACCAACATTCAATAATTTCTTTTGCTGCTGAAATGAAGTTCTGATTGCTAGAATTGGACTCATATCAGAGAGCTAAACATTAGACGGATTCAAACTTATCCTTTTTGCCATATCCTGATTAGTTTGGTGTGTCATATTTAAATCTCCATAGATAAACAAATAATTTTTCTCTTGCATTCTTTAATTCCCTTACTTTAAATCTATAAACTTAAAATTTGGACTAGGCCCAATGTTAATGCTACTTTTACAAAAGGCCAAAGTAGAACCACAGAAAGCATTTACATAATTTAAAATGAACATTTGGATTACTAACCTCCAAACAAAGTAAATAACTATTTGCCTGGAGTACATTTTAATTCTCTGATTAATCTATATATGGTTTCATGATTCCCTTCTTTCAGGAAGAAAATAAAATATCTGTACGCTGAAGGGGAGATTCAAGAGCAGGACAATAGGTACGCTACAAAAAAATATGGCACTATGTAGGCATTATCCATCTAGGGTGTTAATTTTATGATTGTGATGCATGTCTGAAAACTAAATATCTCAGTAAAATTCAGAAACAGCTCTTAGATTATCTTCAATTCAGTAAAATAAAATAAGTTTATTTGTCTGAGGTTATCTTAACAAAATGCAAAGTATTTTCTGTGCAGGAATGCCTTAAATGCTAATATAGAAAACAAAATTTAGAAATTTACTAATTGCCCAATAAAATTTGATCAGAAAAATTTTCACTGTTTTCTATAAATTCCAGATCCTTTTCAAAGAAAATAGACATGGCTGTTACCGACATTTCGCATATTAGGGGCTTGACAATGACTTTGCAGTGAAATATAATCAGTGGTATTCCCTTTTTCTTATGTTTTTGAGAACTTAGGTGTATGTAGTACAATAGCTCAACAACTATCAGTTTTCTGAAGCCATGAAAACTGGCATCATCTCAGAGATCAAGAGGAAGTGATTGCCTCCCTTGCTTTACCCACATCCTTGGGCTCCTTGTACCCTAAATTGTTCCAAAGTTAGTTAATGAGTGCAATTTTCCAAAGCTCATTGAGGAACTTACCACTCTGCTATGTCCTCCTGTGGGATGCATTTCTTGTACAAACTTCCTGAGTTTCTTCCTGGGACATTCATTCTCAAGGTGGAACCTTCTCTGAATCCTTCCATGTAGCCATTTTTTTTTTTTCTTATCGTTTTCTAGAGACTTGTAACCCATCTGTACCATATAGAGCCAGTGTCCTTACATCCACCCTTTGTCCATTAGGCTAATTCTCCTGGAATGTTGGGATGAATTTCATCCATCCTTCTTCTCAAACCTGTACCCTCGATCACTGATTCCAAGCATGCTCTTTTCTTCCTCAGTCCTTTCAGCACTTTGAGTCTCACTCAGTTCTTCTCCCTCCAAACCTTTCCACTATGCACTTCAGAATTTCCATTCTGTCATAAACACAATCTCGTATCTTAAACCTGTCCAAGCAGGATCTCTATTTCAGCTCCTGAGCTTTCTGAAGCCATTTTCCCATATACCCATGAGTTAAAAACACAACCAACTGCATGTATCTGCCTTCAGATGGTTCCCTAGCCAACTACTATTTTATTTGAATTTTAAAAGATCTTTTCTATCTCTCTCTCTCTCTCTTTCTCTCTCTCTTTCTCTCCCTCTCTTTGCCACTCTTGTTCTTCAGTCTTGGAATTTTTTATTTTATTTTATTATTATTATACTTTAAGTTTTAGGGTACATGTGCACAATGAGCAGGTTAGTTACATATGTATACATGTGCCATGCTGGTGTGCTGCACCCATTAACTCATCATTTAGCATTAGGTATATCTCCTAAAGCTATCCCTCCCCCTTCCCCCCACCCCACAACAGTCCTCTGAGTGTGATGTTCCCCTTCCTGTGTCCATGTTCTCATTGTTCAATTCCCACCTATGAGCGAGAATATATGGTGTTTGGTTTTTTTGTTCTTGCGATAGTTTACTGAGAATGATGATTTCCAATTTCATCCATGTCCCTACAAAGGACATGAACTCATCATTTTTTATGGCTGCATAGTATTCCATGGTGTATATGTGCCACATTTTCTTAATCCAGTCTATTACTGTTGGACATTTGGGTTGGTTCCAAGTCTTTGCTATTGTGAATAGTGCCGCAATAAACATACGTGTGCATGTGTCTTTATAGCAGCATGATTTATAGTCCTTTGGGTATATACCCAGTAATGGGATGGCTGGGTCAAATGGTATTTCTAGTTCTAGATCCCTGAGGAGTCGCCACACTGACTTCCACAATGGTTGAACTAGTTTACAGTCCCACTAACAGTGTAAAAGTGTTCCTATTTCTCCACATCCTCTCCAGCACCTGTTGTTTCCTGACTTTTTAATGATTGCCATTCTAACTGGTGTGAGATGGTATCTCACTGTGGTTTTGATTTGCATTTCTCTGATAGCCAGTGATGGTGAGCATTTTTTCATGTGTTTTTTGGCTGCATAAATGGCTTCTTTTGAGAAGTGTCTGTTCATGTCCTTCACCCACTTTTTGATGGGGTTGTTTGTTTTTTTCTTGTAAATTTGTTGGAGTTCATTGTAGATTCTGGATATTAGCCCTTTGTCAGATGAGTAGGTTGTGGAAATTTTCTCCCATTTTGTAGGTTGCTTGTTCACTCTGATGGTAGTTTCTTTTGCTCTGCAGAAGCGTTTTAGTTTAATTAGATCCCATTTGTCAATTTTGGCTTTTGTTGCCATTGCTTTTGGTGTTTTAGACATGAAGTCCTTGCCCATGCCTATGTCCTGAATGGGAATGCCTAGGTTTTCTTCTAGGGTTTTTATGGTTTTAGGTCTAACGTTTAAGTCTTTAATCCATCTTGAATTGATTTTTGTATAAGGTGTAAGGAAGGGATCCAGTTTCAGCTTTCTACATATGGCTAGCCAGTTTTCCCAGCACCATTTATTAAATAGGGAATCCTTTCCCCATTGCTTCTTTTTCTCAGGTTTGTCAAAGATCAGATAGTTGTAGATATGCGGCGTTATTTCTGAGGGCTCTGTTCTGTTTCATTGATCTATATCTCTGTTTTGGTACCAGTACCATGCTGTTTTGGTTACTATAGCCTTGTAGTATAGTTTGAAGTCAGGCAGCGTGATGCCTCCAGCTTTGTTCTTTTGGCTTAGGATTGACTTGGCGATGCGGGCTCTTTTTTGGTTCCATATGAACTTTAAAGTAGTTTTTTCCAATTCTGTGAAGAAAGTCATTGGTAGCCTGATGGGGATGGCATTGAATCTATAAATTACCTTGGGCAGTACGGCCATTTTCACGATATTGATTCTTCCTACCCATGAGCATGGAATGTTCTTCCATTTGTTTGTATCCTCTTTTATTTCCTTGAGCAGTGGTTTGTAGTTCTCCTTGAAGAGGTCCTTCACGTCCCTTGTAAGTTGGATTCCTAGGTATTTTATTCTTTTTGAAGCAATTGTGAATGGGAGTTCACTCATGATTTGGCTCTCTGTTTGTCTGTTATTGGTGTATAAGAATGCTTGTGATTTTTGTACATTGATTTTGTATCCTGAGACTTTGCTGAAGTTGCTTATCAGCTTAAGGAGATTTTGGGCTAAGACAATGGGGTTTTCAAGATATACAATCATGTCATCTGTAAACAGGGACTATTTGACTTCCTCTTTTCGTAATTGAATACCTTTTATTTCCTTCTGCTGCCTAATTGCCCTGGCCAGAACTTCCAACTCTATCAGTGTGCCGTATTCAGGAAACCCATCTCACGTGCAGAGACACATATAGGCTCAAAATAAAAGGATGGAGGAAGATCTACCAAGCAAATGGAAAACAAAAAAAGGCAGGGGTTTCAATCCTAGTCTATGATAAAACAGACTTTAAACCAACAAAGATCAAAAGAGACAAAGAAGGCCATTACATAATGGTAAAGGGATCAATTCAACAAGAAGAGCTAACTATCCTAAATATATATGCACCCAATACAGGAGCACCCAGATTCATAAAGCAAGTCCTGAGTGACCTACAAAGAGACTTAGACTGCCACACAATAATAATGGGAGACTTTAACACCCCACTGTCAACATTAGACAGATCAACGAGACAGAAAGTTAACAAGGATATTCAGGAATTGAACTCAGCTCTGCACCAAGTGGACCTAATAGACATCTACAGAACTCTCCACCCCAAATCAACAGAATATACATTATTTTTCAGCACCACACCACACCTATTCCAAAATTGACCACATACTTGGAAGTAAAGCTCTCCTCAGCAAATGTAAAAGATCAGAAATTATCACAAACTGTCTCTCAGACCACAGTGCAATCAAACTGAACTCAGGATTAAGAAACTCACTCAAAACCGCTCAACTACATGGAAACTGAACAACCTGCTCCTGAATGACTACTGGGTGCATAACGAAATAAAGGCAGAAATAAAGATGTTCTTTGAAACCAACGAGAACAAAGACACAACATACCGGAATCTCTGGGACACATTCAAAGCAGTGTGTAGAGGGAAATTTATAGCACTAAATGCCCACAAGAGAAAGCAGGAAAGATCCAAAATTGACACCCTAACATCACAATTAAAAGAACTAGAAAAGCAAGAGCAAACATTCAAAAGCTAGCAGAAGGCAAGAAATAACTAAAATCAGAGCAGAACTGAAGGAAATAGAGACACAAAAAACCCTTCAAAAAATTAATGAATCCAGGAGCTGTTTTTTTGAAAGGATCAACAAAATTGATAGACCGCTAGCAAGACTAATAAAGAAGAAAAGAGAGAAGAATCAAATAGACGCAATAAAAAATGATAAAGGGGATATCACCACCGATTCCACAGAAATACAAACTACCATCAGAGAATACTACAAACACCTCTACGCAAATAAACTACAAAATCTAGAAGAAATGGATAAATTCCTCGACACATACACCTTCCCAAGACTAAACCAGGAAGAAGTTGAATCTCTGAATAGACCAATAACAGGAGCTGAAATTGTGGCAATAATCAATAGCTTACCAACCAAAAAGAGTCCAGGACCAGATGGATTCACAGCCGAATTCTACCACAGGTACAAGGAGGAACTGGTACCATTCCTTCTGAAACTATTCCAATCAATAGAAAAAGAGGGAATCCTCCCTAACTCATTTTATGAGGCCAGCATCACCCTGATACCAAAGCCTGGCAGAGACACAACCAAAAAAGAGAATTTTAGACCAATATCCTTGATGAACATTGATGGAATTTTTTTTTTAATTTCTCTTTTGGAAAGGCTAAGAACATTCGCTATTATAATGCCTTCTGCATATTCTATTTTCTAGGGCAGAGTTTGGCCCTAGAGGTTTAAACACAAATATACTAAGAAGAAATTCCTTTTCTTCTTTATTTTATACATAACTAATGACCATAAAATGGGCGTCAAATATTTGAATGGTGGCAATCATCTGAAAGAAAAAGGAAATTTAAAAAAAAATCGATTTTAGTTGATATTTGGTTATTGAAAGAAAATAATCCCCCCAAAATGCATGTAAGTACAGGCTATGTGTAAAATGAGGTGGGACATGTTGGCTTACGCCTGTGATCTCAGCACTTTGGGAGGCCAAAGCAGGTGGATCACCTGAGGTCAGGAGTTCAAGATCAGCCTGGCTAAGATGGTGAAACCCCGTCTCTACTAATAATACAAAAATTAGCTAGGTATGATGGTGCACGCCTGTAATCCCAGCTACTCAGGAGCCTGAGGCCGGAGAATCGCTTGAACCCGGGAGGCAGAAGGTGCAGTGAGCCGAAATCACGCCATTGCACTCCAGCCTGGGCAACAAGAGTGAAAATCCGTCTCAGAAAAAAATTAAAAAAAATGAGTTAGGTAAGAGAAAAAAATTTCTTTTAATAAAGCAAAATTTAAGAAAGTGGTTCGTATGGAGAATCAAGGGTGCAGATGGGGTTGGGGGTGCTCCAATTATCTACCATACATCCTCACCACCTATCCTCTTGTTCCTCTCACAGTTCTACCTTCATTATAGCAGTTTATTATAATCACCTTCTCTAACATTAATAATAATAATCAATTCCCAAACCTAATTTTTTCCATAGGTTTATTTTTATTCAGAATTGCTGCTTTTCGTACTACTGACCATCCTCTAATTCTGGCAATTCTCTCTTATTTTGGTTTCTGCTGCATTTTTCCTTTTTGATTTCTTTTCACATTCCTGGACCTCTTTACCATGAGCCTCACTGATTTCTCTTTCTCAATTTTCACACTTTGGGTGAGTATATCCAAGTTCTCTGCTCCTTCTTCTCTCTTATACAAATTTATCTTTAATTTTGACCTTGTTTGGTCCTGTGCAGAGTGGACAAAAACACAGCCTTTAGAATCAGACAGACCTGGTGCTATGATTTTAATAAGCAGCCCAAATTTCATGTGTTGGAAACTTAATCTCCAAATTAATATGTTGATGATATTTGGAGGTGGGACCTTTGGGACATAATTAGGGTTAGATAAGGCTATCAGACGGGGGCTCCCATGGTGAGCCTAGTGGCTTTATAATAAGAGAATGAGAAACCTGACTTGCTGTGCTCTTTACCTCTCACCATGTGATGCCCTTCTCTTTGTTATGTATGCAGCAAAAGGTCCTTAAAAGCAGAGCAGAGGCAGCCAGCCTCCAAGACTGTAAGAAATAATTCTTTTCTTCATAAATTACCCACTCTCTGATATTTTGTTAAAGCAACAGAAAACATACTAAGACACTCAGTTTGAATTCCACGATCTTATATTTAATTTTTGTTCTTTTGTTGTTGTTTTTATCTTTTTTCTCTGAACTCTGCAGAGAAATAATTTATAATTAATATGTAAATAACTTTGAGAAAAATGACCTAAACATCCGGGACTTTTTCTGGATCACTAAAACGCAGCTCATGCTGTCTATTTAATAGTTTGTAAATGTCAGGTAAACATCTCTAGATTAATACTTTTATTGGTACATCAAACTTAATTTATATAAAACCAAACCCATCACCTAATATTAGCTTTTTTTTTTTTCCTCCCTCTACTTTGGTTTCGGCTACCATCATTTTCCTAGTGCTATACATTTATAAAATTTGGACTTGTTTAAACAACTTCTGCAATACTCACCTAATTAGATTTCGTATGCTGTTGTCATGCACAACTTTCCATTCTTGCAAAGATAATTAAAGTTCACTTATTATACTGTATACATTTTCTTAACAGAATTTTCACATACTGAAAAACATCTTTTAAAAAATTACTACTTGAATCTTCTCATTAGTCTAAATTTAGTGGCATTTTTATTATATTAAATAACATATTTTAACTGGGTTTAAAAAAACTACTGAAACAGGCTTAACTAAAATATGATAATGTCTGTAGAGCATGTAGATCTAAAGTTACTCTGAATGTTTAAGCTCACAAGGTAAGTAAAGATAGAGTGAAACAAATGTTAACACATAACGATTGACTCTAAAACATATACCACATTTAGAATACTGGTGTATTAACTCATTTTAAAAATACATACCAATACTTGATTTAAAAATGCATTTTGGTCAGGCACAGTGGCTCACACCTGTAATCCCAGCACTTTGGGAGGCAGAGGCGGATGGATCACAAGGTCAAGAGATCGAGACCATACTGGCCAACATGATGAAACCCTATCTCTACTAAAAATATAAAAAATTAGCTGGGTGTGGTGGTGCGTGCCTGTAATCCCATCTACTCAGGAAGCTGAGGCAGGAGAATCACTTGAACCCGGGAGGCAGAGGTTGCAGTGAGCAGAGATCATGCCACTGTACTCCAGCCTGGTGACAGAGCAAGACACCATCTCAAAAACAAAACAAAAACCAAAAAAGCATTATAATTTGTCTTAGAAATTATTTACCAGAAAGTTTCCCTTCAATATGTTTAATATACAAATATAATGTACTAGATGTAAGGGCTGATAATAATAGAAATATCATTTATAATAACAAAAATTATTTAACAAATTAGAAAAATTCACTATACTAAATAAATGGTAATTAAAATTATGATCATTAAACAACATAAATATAAATTGATGCAGGCTGTCAGAAATGGTTTTATTTGTTATATGAAAGTATGTATCTACAATGTCAACACTCAAATTTGTGGTTTTCAGAAATTTTCATGGACTGGGAGGCTTAAAGCTATTTCTGAAAAATAAAGTGACCAAAAATAGCACACAAAAAATTGAGAGATACTTTATAAAAATAATAAATTAGAAAGATCTGATTTTTCCTATGAGAAGAAAACATCAACTTATATTCTAGATTTAGTAATGACAACATAAGTATTGTACAGAAACCAAGTAAATCTTGTGAGAATTTTTAATCAGCAAATTGAGAAGGTTATCATCATATATTTACTTTTTAAAGGGGGGTGTAGGCTACCTTTATATGTTATAAGCCAAATTATTTTATCAGTGTAGGATGAACTGGAATGCCCAGATTTGGTAATAGGGCTTGTCTTTATTTCAAACATGAGTTATTTCTCATATTCTTGAAAAATTTTATAACATATTTCTGTTAATCCAATTAGTTTTACTATATTGGTTTTGTTTTTGCTTTTGTTTTTAAACTAAAACATGTGTTTACAGTTATAGTGACCTACTTTCCTGAGACTTTTGGCCCATATATTTTATAGTCAGGTTCCTGAGACATAAGTCAGTGGTAAGGTCGCATCACAAATAACTCAACGTTACATGAGTTTAAAAATGGGGATTCAGGAAAGAAAGTTCTATCATATTACGCCATGTGTAATTCTATTTCATTGTGGACAGGAAGTGCTTCTTTCTAAATTTGCAGCAAGTAAAAGTCATTTTATGAATGTCCAGTAAAGGAATGTATTGTTTATTTACACGCATTCTGAAGTTTTTTGGTTGGTTTCATTGTTAAGAGGTGGGGCCAGTGGCGGCCAGAAAAGACTTGTGAGATCCCTATCCTAAAACATACAGTGTGTATAAAACATATTGATTCAAATAGACAGGGAATAGGTCCCTAAAAGATGATCACGCATTCATTCCTTTAGACATTGCATACTTGTTGTGCTGGGATGAATATTTTAAGGTCCTCATTTTCATAAAGCTGTATTAATTGATGAGACAGACACATAACAGTAAATTATGTGATGGTATGGAAGCTGTGACAATACTGATTTTTTACAGGTCATGACAGCTCAGTTGAGAAGCTCCTAGGTGAATCTAGTGGGAAGTGAGAAGGAATTAAAGAAAAAATTTTACAAAGAAGAAATCTTAAATGCACTACAAAAACATAGTTAAAATAGACTGGCATGTTCCATAACAGTAAAATGACATTCCAAGCCAAGGGATCCAAGAAGCAAAAGTAACCAGGTGAGGGAACTCACAGTGCATATGTAGACACAGAAGCAGTTTAGTGTTGAGGCACATAAAGTGTGAATTAAAGAGTAAGTATAGAAGAGACAGAGGTAGCCTGGGATCAGGTCATACACAGAAAGCTTTCAATGTCCTATTAATCAGCTTGAGTTTTATTGAATGGGTAGTTTGGTGATACTGAAGAGTTTGAAACAAGGTAATGTAATTGTGAAGTTGAATTTTAGGCAACCTATTCTGGCAACACATTTGAAGATGATTTGAAGTCTACTAAAGAGAAACTAGGGGGCACTGGCAATTGTCCAAGTTAGAAATGGCAATGGCTATAATAACTCTAGAGGTCATAAAAGAGGAACAAAAGACGCATGTCTGAGGATTTTTCAGGAAGTGTAATCAATGAGATGACATTATACCCATCCTGTTAATCTAGGATACCCTCCTCATCTCAAAGTACTTAATTTAATCACACTGGCAAAGTTCCTTTTATTGTGTAAATTAACATTCACTTGTTTCAGACATGAGGTCATAGCCATCTTGTAGAGGAGGCATTATTCTTATTCTGAATACCACACCCAACAATCCTACAAGGCTCCTGTGTATATGTTTGTGTGTGTGTGTGTGTGTGTATTCACATTATTTACATACTTATGTTTTATAAAGTCACTGTGAATTCTGAATTAGAGAGTGCTAAGTCACTGCTTTTAGAAGAAATAGAGATTTAGTTTCCTCTGGTCACACATTTAGGTCAACTGATAAATATATAACCTGTTTTATGTGTATTTCTACGTAAAAGTATCTTACTTAATATATATTGTGAATTCATTAACATTGAACTCAGCCAACAGCACTATAACTCGTGCCTGAACGAAGCCTATTTAACCCAAATTTTCTCTGTAAGACACATCACAGAATTCTTGCAGTTAGGGACACTTAAGGAGACTTTAGCTTTATGTTTCGGTGTAATTTTAAATAGTAAATTACATTTTTCAAAATGTGAAAAATGAGGTGCCAAATAAACTGCAAAAACACTTGTTTACGGTGTGAAAGCTGAAACAGAAAGGCCAAGCCATGCCTTCTCACATCTTAGCTGGAATGGAAGAAGAGACACTTTTCACTGTTCTGCACATATTCATGTCCATGAATGTCCAAGAAAACACCAGAAATATCAATGTTGGGGTTGCAAATAAATGTTACCGAGCAGACAATTTACAAATACAGAACTCATGAATAATGACAATTATGATGATGCACTATGTACACATATGATTTCACATATATACACATATTATGCCTATGTGTAAAATCTGAACAAAAGATTAAATATGATATAACTTGCATATTAAAATATTAGTGTTTTAGAAACTCACTTGACTTAAATCACTATGATTTATAATGTGATAATATTTTTTCACTGTTTGAAAACTCTTCCTGAATCCCCTATTATCTCTTCTGAAGAATGTATTTCCATGGCTAATTTCATTAAAAATAAGATTAAAAATAATAAAATAAATCAATAAAGACATTTACTTGCAATTCTAAATGACCATATAAAATAACGTGCATGAGAGATGAGAACTAGATTCCATTACTTTAGCAGAGAAAAGTGACAAGCTGCCTCAACATTTTAGAATTTGGTAAATTCATGAGAAAAATACTTGGAGTCAGGCGAGAAATACAGAAATAGAAATAATTATTTGAAAAGGAAGAAAAATATTTTATGCTTGGGTCAATTTACAAGCAAGGAAAACTACAGTATGGTCTTCAGTAGGATGAAATGAGCCAAAAGCTTAGAAAATACCACCCAGGCATCTGAAGACCATATGGAAATATAGAAAAGAAAATTCTTTATATGCCTTTCTAAATTTAAATTAGGCAATAACAAATCAAACTAACTCCTATTAAAGTTAGAAATATGGTTGCCTAATTTTCTTTTTCTCATAGAGCCATGTGACTGTGAGTGACAGACCCAGGAGGGTATCTGTGTGTTGCTGTGCTTGTGTGCCTATATCTGTGTCTCTGTGTGAGTCCACATCTGTGTAGTAAAAAAATGAAACTAAGAAGTTAATAATAATTTAATACCACCTCTAATTTTGACATCCAAACTAAAAACAAACAACTAAAGATGCCCCAACCCTCTCCTGAGCTGCAGCTTTCATCACTCACATGTGAGAAACAGAACTCTTCACTTCCCACCACCAAGTCTCAAAACTTGCTCTCCATTTCTATTCTTTTATACATAAGAAAATCATATTTTTCAAGTGTGCCCAGCTGAAAGACTAAGAATCATCTTTTATTCCTTTCTTTACCCCCACATTCAACCTATCATCAGATCATCTCAATTCTAATTCCCACCCATTTCTCTCCATCCCCAACTCTACCACCTCATTTTCAGTTATTTTTCTTCTGAACTATCAATAGCCTATTAATTGGATTCCCAGCTTCTTTTTTGCCCCCTAAAATAAATTTATCAGAAAGCAAACACACACACACACACAATCTATACACACATACACAAACTATATATACATATATATAACCATAACTATATATATACATATATAACTGTTAACTATAACTATATATATATATCTATATATATACAGTTATATGGATTTTTTTTTAAGACAGAGTCTCACTCTGTCACCCAGGCTGGAGTGCAGTGGTGTGATCTCAGCTCACTGTAGTCTAGACTTCCAAGACTCAAGCCTTCCTCCCACTTCAGCCTCCCAGGTAGCCGGGACTGCAGCCGCACGCCACCATGCCTGGCTAATTTTTGTGTGTTTTGTAGAAACAGGGTTTTGAACTCCTGAGCCCAAGAGATCTACCTGCCTCAGCCTCCCAAAGTGCTGGGACTACAGTTGTGCGCCACTGCGCCAGGCCTGCCTATCTATCTATCTATCTATCTATCTATCTATCTATCTATCTATCTATTTTTTAATGTGAATCATGTCACATTACTTGCTGCTTGATATCCAGCGGCTGCTTTCCATTTATAATCTAAATTCCTAGGAAGTTTGCTAGGCTTTACATTACCTGGCTCCTGCTGTTTCCAACATCATCTTACACCAACTCCTCTCATCATTCTCTTTGTGATACACTTTCCCTAGCCTTATTTTACTTTTTCAAACTCATTCCTACTCTGTAGTTTTTGCCTTAGCCCCTTTGTAAAGTCTGACAAACTCAGAATCCTTCACTCTCTATTTTTGTTTTGCTTTTAAAATATTTTAAATTACCCCCATTATCTATTTTAAAGTTTCGTTCTCTTTTCCATGTAACTAGAGTGTAAAATTCATAAGAGCAAGGATTCACACATCCTTTGCTGTACCCTTGGGTATAGGTTAGTTTCTGCCATCTGAGCTTTTCTTGAATATGTGTTGAATTCCTGTGAAGCTATTGTTATAGAAATAAAAAAAGTCATATCCAAAACTAGTTGCAAAGAATTAAGGAACAATAAAATATTAATTAAATAAGGACAAGGGCTTGTTGTATGCTGTGTATAGGGTTATTCATTTATTCATTTAATCATCCATCTGTTTACATACTCTCTTTTTCAGTTTTAGATGGGTTGGAAATAATGTTTATTATAGATATCTGTTTTCAACAAATGATATCATTTCACCAAATATTTATCAAGACTGCTAATTTTGCTAGACTCTGATGATATGCAAATGGAAATATCCTAAAATAACTCTTATTGTGGATGGTTCACTGGGGATTAATTAGTCAAGGCCAGGAGAAGAGATTTATGCCAAATTTGGACAGATGAGTATTTTCAATTACAAAAACATCATAGTAATCATATATGTATTGTTTTTATTCCTCTGAGATATTATTGGTATAGGAGTTTAAAACTAACTTAAAATGCAAAGGAAATATAAGTTATAGTAGAACAAAACAAAATACCTTCATAAAAGCAAATGTAAGGGTTGAGGCAGGGGAAAATGGGAGCTTGTACTAATAAACAGAACATTTAAAGAAATTTCAGGAATTTGAAAAGATTCAAAGTAGCTTAATTATGGACAAACCACAATCCTGACATATTTAGAAAAAGTTGTACAAAAGATAGAAACTGATCTCTTGGGTTGAGATTAAAGATTCCCTGGACTCAGTAACAGCAGGTATTGCCAAGGGCGAGAGTAAAAACTGAAGTGCAAAAACAAGTGTTGATGAAAAGCATTGGTTAGCAAAAACAATCTTTACATTTATAATCATAAATGTAAAACATAGATATAACTAAAAATCATCAAAGACATTCTTAAGCCACTGACTAGGAGAATATTTTTTCAAATCACCTATCTGGTAAAGGACTTGTATCTTATCCAGAATATGCAAAGAACTCTCATAATAATTATACAAAGTGAAATTAAGCCAGATAAGAGAGAGTACATAATATGTAATTTCATGTATGTAAAATTCTAGACATGTCCAACTAATTTATAGTGATAGAAAACAAATCAGTGGTTGCTTAGGTAGGGAGGAGAGGAAGGGGTTACACAGAGCCATGGGGAACTTCTGCGGGGAAATTTTGGGAGTGATAAATATGTTCATTATCTTGATTGTGATGATGATTTCACAGGTATATGCATGTGTAAAATCTCACCAAACCTGTACATTAACTTTAAATATGTGCTGTGTATGGTATGTCAATTATACCCAATAAAGCTGTTAAAAATGAAACAACGTGAAAAATAAAATCAGAATAAGAGCCTTGGGTGGTCCCTTCTAGTCCCTCTCTGCCAGAAAAGCTGTTAGCTGTTGGTTTTTTACTGCCAAGATAAAGAACGTAAACATACTATTTGGAGAGAACTAATTTTCTTCTGGATGATTGCACCACAGATTAAAATAGAGAGTGAGGCCTCACTGCCACACCCCTGTCTTGCCCCCAGAGACTGTAGTCAAGATTCCCATTAATAAAACAGTCTTACCTATTAACAGGCAAAGCTATCCAAGCTACAGACATGACCTGTCCTAAATACAGTGAACCAAGGATTATTGAGCAAAATAAATGGAAAAAAACAAGCAAAATGAATTTAAAAATAAAAAGAGAAAAAAATCAAGCTAATTGTAATAACATAAAATTACTGGAAAAAAAAGGTAAAACGAATTCTCTATGATTACTGTATCTAGAACAATTTCTGAAGAAACTTTTAATATTAAACAATTGCTACAAATGCTACTGGAATAATTATAGAACAAAATGGAATTCTTCAAGGCAAAGCATTAAATATGTTAAAATATGTTAATAATAATGTGGTCAAAAAGAACTAAATAAAATAAAAATTAAGAAACCTCCATGATTATGGAACACGAGAATAAAGAGAGACAATATGAGAGAAAATATATGCAAAAGAATAATTGAAGAGGCCTATCATTCATCTAATACAAGTTCATGAGCAAAAAAATACAAAGGAGAAAATAATAAATAGAAAGAATGGTCAATAATTTTCTACAATTGGAAAAAATTGAGCCTTCAGATTAAAAGGGTTCAGTGAAAAGAATGGATGAAAATTACCCATATATAGCTATAACTACCTGAGTGATACCAAGAGATGAAAAAGCAACAGAATAGCATTATACTGATATTGGGCTTGATATCAGTAATAATAGATGCAAAAAACAGTTGAACAATTACTGGGATGCTCTGAGGAAAAATGTCAGAGCACAATAAATTGCACCAAATGTTACTGTGTGTGCAGAATAAAGACCATGTAGACAGGTGTGTTTCAAAATGTTTCACGTCTATAGGCTTTTTAAAAGAAGTAAAAGATATAACCCAGGAAAAGGGGGAGGAAGAGAAACTCAGATATCAGGAAAGCCATTACCAAATCCGGGAGAGAAATGAATGGAAATCCAAGGTTGACAGAGAAAATCGGAATAATTTTTCCAGGAAGAAAAGAGGCTTGAGACAGAGGAAAGCATGGATGCAAGTGTGAGACAAAGAAGACGCAGGATGTAACACAGCAAATGAAACTGGAATACAATGAAAAAAAAAAGAAAACAACTAAAACAAAAAGGACGAAAACATGATTAAGCTATGAGTGAATAAAAATAAGTCAATATTGAAAGTGAGTGAATGACTATAAGAGAATTAATTAATGGCAATGTGTAGCATGAACCAAGAGATCCTACATTAGACTTCTAGAGAAGGAAATTAAGACACAACAGCTTAGCTCAGTATTACAAAAATATATATTTATGTAGTAATGATAACCTGGAGCTAGTTTATTATTTTTTTTGGCTTTTAAAGTAAACCTATTAACACAGTACAGAAGATTTTGTTGTGACTGTGGAATACAACTATGAATAACGTTGTGGCTAAATGTAGTTACAGTGTAAATCGAAAGCAGAGCTGAAAGGAGGTAAGGCATGGAAAGGGAGAGGAAGGTTTTAAAAAATACATAATGAAGCTAAAATCTTCACCTTACATATTGAAGACTAAAGGAGATGGAAAGCCTAACTGAAGTTTACATATATTCAGTCAAGTTAGAAAAACCAATCAAGAAAAGACCTAAAAGTAACATAAATATCAAGCACTGGGAAAAGGAGAGGTGGCAGAATCCATTGAAATCCATACATTTTATAAAGGGGGAGAAAAAATATTCCACATTTGTTAATCAAAGAATGTAACTGTAAATAAAATATTGAGAGTAAGAAAAATAAACATCAAAAAATCAAAATAAAAACATTTTAAGAAGTGACATCTAAGAGAGGAACCATGGATGGAAAAGGAGAGAACAGGAGAAAGTGGCTATTCGATGTAAGCTGTTTATGCTTTTGATTTGAGACTGAATTCATATATTACTCTGCTAAATATAACAATATTTAAAAATCAATCAATATTATTATATTTTTAAATTTCAATCAACAGCAAGTGACCATTTCATTGTCATACTTATATCATAATCAGCTACACTGGTTTAAACGATAATGTTTTGATTATTTTTTTCCTGCCCAGTCATTCATGGCAGCCTGCAGCATCGTCTAATTTCTGGAGTTAGTAGCTAAGCCTCAAAAGAAGGCAGTAAATTATCCCCTCTCCTTTGAAGTTCCCAAGAAATGTGAGCCTATTTCTTTTTCCAAAGTTCATTCCAGAACTGACAGAATTCACTGCCAGTTAATATTTGGATCTTGAACACTTAAAGGTCAAAAACAGTAGCAAAACAACAATGAATGAAAATTACTGTTGTCCTGAAGAAAGACATGGTAATAATTTATATGTTCATTTGTTCTGGGTCTTATATTTTTCCCAAGCAGATTCCAAAACTATATTTTACACTTTTCAATAGTTTCCAGCAGAATGTAGGCTTTTTACAGTAAAACAGAGGCACTGGGGAGTGTAAGAAGAAACATTTAAAATAACATTTTATCTTTCCCAATGTGGGAAATCTCAGAAAATTAATCTATCAAAATATCAAGTTCTAACTTTTTTGTGCTTCCTTGTTATGAACTAACGTCACGTGTCTTCTGGGAATCGTGTAAGTCAGATGTTTAGCAAAGACTACAGCCCTGAAATACAAGCACAGCTTCTTGCCTATTCAACCCAAACACCAAACACTAGTATTCCATTTCGTCCATTCACCAGCCTCATTACAGCTACCTGACTTCACTTTTTAAAATTTCATTTTATTTAACAAGCATTTATTTATATCCTAGTTTAACCTCACTGTTCCCAAGGCTTTTAACAATGTTTTATTCCGGAGTAAACATGGACTAGATTATTTTCTATTAGCTAAATTTACAGGAATACTCCAAATGGTGTTTTCTTTGCTGGTCAAAGAGAGCTTTCCAGATTACCTGCATTAAACAGCCCTAAATCAGTTCTTTACATGACCCTAAAACCTGGAGGAACATAATATTTAAATTCCAATACTTCTCCTCTCCATTAGAGACTGCTGGTCTACAACAGGTGTCATAAAAAGATTCATAAATTTTAAGGATTTTTAAAAATATTTATTTTTGTTCTACAGCATTGTAAAAGTTGTATTTATAATTTTGCGATGTGATTTGTAAATGCATATATGTAACTTAGATGATCTGCTGTACTGTCTGTTTATATATATATATATGTTTTAGGCCAACTCAAATTCCTTCAAGAACCAGGTAAGATAGATATCAATCTGTGAAGTTCCCAGGAATATATTAGACTTTATTATGTCAGAGGCTTCCTCTCTATGAAGCACACCGTTAATTTACACGACACTAAGGAAAAAATGTGCTGCTAATTGAACTGTGATGAAATACTTTAAATTATTTAGAATACTTTATTCTTATTTAAAAGCTACTATAACAGATTTAAACATATTTTTATTAAATATATTATCAATATAGAAAGAGAAAATATTAATAAATAATAGTAGATAAGGATTCCTGTCTTCCCACTGAGGTTTTCTTGATCTTTTCTCAGCTGGGAGTTGCCCACATTCACCGTTTTTTGAACAATACCACCATCTGTATATTAAGAATATTGGTAATGGAGTAGTTTCTAAAATGGTACTCTGTTCTTGCCTCTGAGATTTTCACTCAACTCATCGCCTCCTATGGCAAATTTTGATGCCATTGCATTCTTGATCTTTCCAGAAAGTCTAAGCCGATATGCACATAATAGCTGGATGTCGTATTTCTTTAAATAGTTTTGTCAACTGAAACTTTGAGGAGTTACAGTTGTCTGGTCATGCTACCTGGATTTCCAACAATCAGGTTTCACAGGCAGTGACAGCCATGATGAATGGCTGCTGCTCACCAGCATTTGAACAATGCCATCAATTTTAAGATCTACCCAGTTTAAGAAATGTTTTAATGTGACAAAATGTCCATCCTAGCATCATAGAAATATGGCAACACAAATAGTTCGGTCTGTTAAAAAGTAGCATATTCAGAACCAAGCGCCATATAATTATAGGAAAACGTGTAAGAAAAATATATACTAGCATTATCTTACATGGATCATCTGTTTTTTTTTCCACAATTCTACGTTACACGTATTTATGCTGTTCATCTATGCTAGTTCTCCACTATTTTCTAATATTTAAACTAGTGCACGCCACAAACTTGTACATGATTTCACCTCATGAATAAGTTTAAAAAAAAAACACAAGCATTGTTACAATATTCTTAAATGTTTGTTTGTGCATTTGTTTTAACATCTAGAGTACATTTAGCCATGCATTTATAGTATAATTTAGATAACTATGACTTCATGATGAGTTACCTCATATTTAGCATCTTAAAACCGCATACATTTATTATCTCTTACTCTCTGTAGGTCAGAAATCCAGCTGTGGCTAAGCTGGGTATCTTTGGTTCAAATTCTTTGATGAAGCTTTATATCCCCATCAGCTGAACCTATTGTCTTAGCTAAAGACTCAGCTTCTTCTGAACTGCCTCTCCATAGGCCTGCATCAGGCAACTGTTTTCCCTCAGGGCAAATAAAACAAGAGAAAATGAAAGACAGCCCACAAGGCAGTAATCACAATTATTTTATAATATAATCTTGGAAGTGATGTGATCATTTCTGCCATATTGTATTCATAAATATCAAGAGTTGGGATCATTAGAGCCATCTTAGGGTCTTCCTACCACATAGAGCTACATATGGTGCCTGTTGAAAATATGGATGATGAAATTTCATCATTCATCTTTTGTTTGTTTACTTACTCACTAAATATTAATTTAATGACTACTAAATCCCTGGCATTATACTTGTGACTGAGGTCTCAATGCCTAAACAAGAAAGAATGATCATTGGAAGTCAACGAAGGCAAGGCATAAAGTGTAAAATGTTTTGAAAGGAGAATATATGTTACCAAGCAGGAAAACTATTCAAGTTGAGGATAATGACAGAGCTATGGATGAACAAAATAATGTGGCTAATTTTGGCAAATGTAAATTTTCAGAAGCAGGGTGAAAAGAACATTCATTAGAAATGATTTTAAAAGTAGATTATAATTCATAAAGGGTTTTTAGGTATTAATTAAAAGGGTTTGTCAATGATTAATTAAGCCATGGGAAACCACTATAAAGGAGAGTAACATGATCATAGTAATGAAAGTTCCTATGTTTCTAGAAGATCTAGAAAGTCTCTATGGTCATAGTGTGAAGGACTAATTTTCTAGGGACCAATTCTAGAGACAGGATAATTATTTATATATGGTTTCCACACGAGTCAAAGTGGGAGGTAATTGAATCAGCAGTAAAGCTCGAGTCTGAGAAGAAAGATTCAGTAATTATATAGGAGGTGTAATCAATGGATGTAATCGTCAATTGAATGTGGTGGGGAGAAGGAGGCCACAATCAATCCTGAAATGCATTTAGATTAATATTGGCTTTGGTAAAAAGTGGCACCCTTTAAAATTATAAGACATGTATTGAAAGAGACTTTTTTTTATTTTGAGAACGAGTTTCACTCTTGTTGCCCATGCTGGAGTACAATGGCACGATCTTGGCTCATCCCAACCTCCTCCACCCTGGTTCAAGTGATTCTCCTGCCTCAGCCTCCCAAGTAGCTGAGATTACAGGCATGCACCACCACACCTGGCTAATTTTGTATTTTTAGTAGAGAAGGGGTTTCTCCATGTTGGTCAGGCTGGTCTCGAACTCCCAACCTCAGGTGATCCACCTGCCTCGGCCTCCCAAAGTGCTAGAACTACAGGCATGAGCCACCATGCCAGGCCTGGAAGAGACATTTTTTTGTGGCAAGTCATATAATGTAATTGTGATATGTATAATTTAAGTTGTCTGTGGCAATAAAGTACAGTGATTAAAAGCACAGGGTTTGCAGAAAGTCATATGTGCATTAGAATACTGTGAAGTCCACTATAAAAATGTGGACAAGATTTTTAGCTTCTCAATGTAGGCACACAAATCTTGCTCTGCCAGGTTTGGTGAAAATGAGCACATCGACATATAAATCTTATAAAAGTAAAATTTTACTTTGGTAGCTGAAAAGATATATTATTAGCAAATGAATCCAGAATGCACTTGACCAGGGTTATTTAGTGACAAGATTACTCTGAGTCTCTCCATATTCTCTGAGGGGAGCATCAGGTGGATGGCATGGATAGTCTGCAGCCATGGGACTGTAGCCATGGGATGTTACAGCATCTCTTATGCCCTGTTCATATCACAGTGCATGTACCTTTAGCACAACTCATATCTAGGTTTTGGTCAAAATATTTTCCTTTGACCTATCAAGGTCATTTTGCTCTACTGTTTTTATGTTTTATGATGATGATCAGGTATCATGCATGCATAAATACAATGAAACAATGAAATTGTAATCTAACTCAGTGGCAATCTCCTGTTCTCTGATGAAACTTAATAATCAAGAACAACATAATACCTGCAGTAATTCTTTCTACCTAGTAAGAAAACATGTTATTGCTAACTTAATTGCTACAAGGCACATTATCCTATTTTTTGGTAAGTGAACAGTTCATTGCACTCACCCTCAGACACTAATTGGAACGGTTTTGGAACCACCTTCAATTCCTGTTGTCCTGTTTTAAGGTACAGTGGCTGATAAACCATTGTATTTTAATTTTTTCCCCCAAATCCCTGACTGATTTATACAGATATTTTTATAGACCAGGACCTGATATATCTAACATAGTGTGTAAATCCTCCAAACTGCCAGAAAGAAGTTGAGGGCCAAGTGATTTAGTATTACAACTTCATAAATTCTATCCACTTCCTTTAGAAGAGCTGCCTGAATTCTTGTAACAATATTACCAATAATTTTTATAGTGGTGAAAATATTAGCAATCATACTTTTCAATTTCCATTCCCTTATTTCCAGAGAGCTTGTATATAACATCTGTGGGGCCTATGGGGCCTAGTACCTTACATTATGCAGATCCCAATTCTGAGGAATTCTGGCCCCCAGTGGTGAGTGAACTACTGTGATAAGTCATTGTGGAAGGATGGGAGATACAATAAGCCCCACTACTGGTATCCCTGCTGCAACAAAAAAAAATATTGTATAAATGAATAAGTCTCCCAATCAGTAATATCTCTTTTTAAAGGAAATCATGGATATTTAAATTATAGTATTAGCATGAATCAAGGTCATCTGCAGAGTGAGACAACTTCTGTTACTTGCACTGTGGTGAATACTGACATTCACTGTGGTGAATACTGATATAATATGTGAATCTTCTGCTTGTACCTCAGGGAGTTTGTGTAAAATTAACACCATGCTTACTTCTTCCATTATTGAAGGAACATTAAATAAATATTTTTTTCCTTTTAGACAGAACCACATTGTGTGGCTGTGTCGATTTTTTTAGCTAGATAGATAAACATTGGCATGGTAATTTTCACATGAATTACTATCAGTCTATTTCAAAATTTAGTGGTTATTAAGTAACTGGGACGTCCAATGCACATGGCCCGTTTTTGCCTAATACTGTATAGCTTTGGCTGTAAAATTACTATTTTTTCACTGGTGATCATTTGGGTTTATGCTTATGGGTGTACAGTTAGATTGGTGAGGATAATAATTACAGTTGATGCAGGCACAAGCTTTCTCTATCCAGAGAAAGAATCCAGTGCAGTCAGGTCAAGGCATATTTTCACCTGGCCTTGATGGTAAAGACGTCATGTAGTCCACTTTTTAAACCTGGGCTTCCTTTGTGCCCTTGGGAGCAGTTTTATGATGCTATAATCATGAAGGTTTCTTGCTGGCTTGGAGGGCTGCTGCTGTGATTGCTTTATTCTTGGTTAGTGGCACAAAGTGTTTTCTAGTCCACAATAAGATAGCACCCAGCCATTCTGAGCCTATTAGATGTGAGGCCAGGTTGTAATTTCAGACATCTCTGTAATAATATCTGCTTTGCAATTCCAAAAGGCAGGTGGAGAACTGCCCCTTTGGTGGGTATTTGCATTTAACATGTCGGGAGATTTGTTCTATTTCTATCCAAAGCCCCAAGCTCCAGAGTGTGGCCCCACAGATGAATCAGCTTTTGACAGAGCATTCTGCCAGATCCATTGCAATTTCTATAACTATTTACCTATACTTATATTTGGGCCTTGACTTGCACTACTGTGTTATGGCCCGTCCAAAACTATGACATTGCGTGAATGTTGTGCTATGTTGTTCAGACATCCACTGAGAACCGAAGGGAACTGCCTCAGCTCAAAAGAGTTACTAGTCAATAACATATCCTTTTCACAGGGTACCTCACACCCAGTCACAGGCCACTGCAAAGCTATGAAGCCCCATCTGTCTCTCTGTAATTTAGGACAACTGTGAAGGGCTATGCCCTTCACAGCTACCTATATATGATCAAGTAAATCATCCTTTCCTTCCCTCCCTTCCTTCCTTCCTTCCTTCCTCCCTCCCTCCCTCCCTTCCTTCTTTCCTTCCTTCCTTCCTTCCTTCCTCCCTCCCTCCCTCTCTTTTTCTCTCTTTCTTTCTCTCTTGACAGAGCCTAGCTCTGTCACCCAGGCTGGAGTGCAGTGGCGCAATCTCAGCTCACTGCAACCTCCGCCTTCCAGGTTCAAGCAATTCTCCTGCCTCAGCCTCCCAAGTAGCTGGAACTACAGGCACCCGCCACCATGCCTGGCTAATGTTTGTATTTTTAGCAGAGACAGGGTTTCACCATGTTACCCAGGCTGGTCTTGAACTCCTGACATCAGGTGATCTACCTGCCTCGGCCTCCCAAAGTGCTGGGATTACAGGTATGAGCCACCGAGGCCAGCCAAGTAAATCATTATTGTGACCTTGCCACAGCATAAGATTTCCCTTTTTCAAAATCTGCTTTCTTCCTAGTAATTTTCCTAGACACTAATCTCCACACAGAGTTTGCCTCCTGGAAAATATGATCTTAAGCAGACGTTTATCAGCAATACCTTTTTATACATGGGAATTTTGGGGGTGGTGGTATTAGTTTGACTGGTAATATCTAGTAAACCTATAAAGATTTCTTCACCTGTTCTTTTCCAATGGACTGTCACACCAATATAGGATGCCAGCTATTTCTTCCCCATACTTTTCTAACCATAGCAGGAGCCATTAATTAATGAATACTCTGCTTCCTTAGGCACTCCAGATCTGTTTTTTGAGCTGTATTGATATTGCTCTCCTGTAACTAATGTGTATCTGTCACCCAGATAGGAATATTTTAAATGATGCTAATTCACTGGGTTACAGTGACTGGAGTTCCCATAAAATATCTATCTGGACTTTCCAATAAGGAGGAGGCCCTGTCAGTAATAAATCCTCACTCAATTCACTTTTCACTCCTAAGAACACGCAAAGCTAGAGAAATGTGTAATCCCCTACCAAGAGATGGGATTTAATCTTACCAAAATAATATAGATTACATATTTCATCAAGCATCACTATTTCTTGATGATTACTTGTTCCCTGGGACCCTTATACTGCATAACAAGGGCAGAGGGTATGTCTTCATTCGGTGATAACTATGTAAGTTCCCAGGTGCCACTAACACTGGCTAGGGGTGAAATCTACAGGTCTTCTATTAGGGACACAATCTAGTGGAATTCAATTTTATTTAATCAAATCAGTTGTGACCCATCACCATTCCTTAGGTTTGTAAACATTGTTCTTAGTTGCTATCAGTCATCCTAGGGATACCTAACATGAAATAGAAGTTTCTGAGTATGTACTACCTTGTAGCCTTTGTCATTTGCCCCATCTCTCTCACCCCTTCTCTTTTATCATTTGTCATGCTATAATTCAGAGGCAGTATACTGTAGTAATTAGAAACATGGATTCTAAAGCCAGACTGCCTGTATTCCAATGCTGGCTCTTCTGCTTCTGAGAAATCAGGAATTCTCAGTTTCTTCCTCTGCAAAATGGGGATCATAATAGTACCAACCTTAAATATCCAGTTGTAGTAAGGGTTATTACTTGATAAATGTAATATGCATCTTAGAACAATATTTGGCACATAGTAAGTATTCTATAGTATGAACCATCAATTACAATTACTTGGGCAGAAACAGTTACCAGGCACCTCCTGTTTGAGGAATTGCCTTGCCCCATCCTCTGGAGGTGAAAAGGAGAAAATAAAGCAGATGCTGGTAACACTATAGCATTCCGTTTTTGCATAGATGCATAGAACTAGAAGAATAGCAATTTCCTCTTTAGAAGACAATACTTCCAGATTCTTTCTCATCCTTCCAGCTTTATTCTTTCTCAATAGCATAAATTTTATCTAACAGAAGGAACTTGTGCATGCTTGGAGTATGCCTGTGGGCTCCAACCTCTCTACACTTGAGTGGTAATTAAATCAATCAAAGTCTTTCTCTGCTATGATTCCAAGTGCTTTCCGAGAGTGCAAGCTGCCTGAGGCAGCTTCTCCCCTTCTGCTTTCAATTAAGTTATCACTGCCCCCACCTGTCTAGTGAATTGAGAAAAAAGGAACATATGTCTTCCAGGAAGACACTCCACTTCCATTCCTGTGTTTCGTGCTTCTTGGCTGGTGCAGTGTATCTCCTGGACCCTACTCTCACACTGCTGGGCAGGGAGAGATTTCTCATAGGACTCCATGCTCTGCTGTGAATAATCACAGCGGGTTTCTGGCCATCTCTTTCTAGAGAAGGGTCTTATTCTATTTGCACTTTAAGACTTAAATCAACAGGTAATTTTTTTACAAAAACATTTGTTTTTATACGCAATAAAATAGAACATAGAGTCAGAGGATGGTAAAAATGAGCACACTACAATATACGTAGGAAATATTTTTTTCAATACACTTAAAATAAGCAATTTCAGGTCAGGATTTGTCAGGCTGGAGAGTAGTCTGTGAGCATGCCCCAGCTCTCATTCATGATGGATAAACTGGTATTGGGTGCTGATGGTTTAAGGCCTTTCGAGAGGAGATCCTGCCAGGCTAAGCGATATGGTTTGGGTTTGTGTATCCATCCAAATCTCATGTCAAATTAAAGGAGAGGCCTAGTGGGAGGTGATTGGATTATGGGGGTGGATTTCACCCTTGCTCTTCTCATGATAGTGAGTGAGTTATTGCAAGATCTGATGGTTTAAAAGTATGTGCCACTTCCTTCTTAGCTTTCTCTCTCTCTCCCCTGCCACCATGTGAGAAAGGTGCTTACTTCCCCTTAACTTTCCACAATGATTGTAAGTTTCCTGAGGCCTCCTAGTCATGGTTCCTGTTAAGCATGCAGAATTGTGAGTCAATTAAACCTCTTTTCTTCAAAAATTACCTAGTCTCAGGTAGCTCTTTATAGCAGTATGAGAATGGACTAACACAGAAAATTGGTACCAGGAGTGGGGTATTGCTATAAAGATACCTGAAAATGTGGAAGTGACTTTGGAACTGGGTAACTGGCAGAGATTTGAACAGTTTGGAGGGCTCAGAAGAAGACAGGAAGATGTCAGAAAGTTTGAAACTTCCTAGAGACTTGTTGAATGGTTTTGACCAAATGCTGATAGTGATATGGACAATGAAGTTCAGGCTGAGGTGGTTTCAGATGAAGATGAGGAATTTATTGGTAACTAGAGTAAAGGTAACTCTTGCTATGCTTTAGCAAAGAGAGTGGTGGCATTTTGCCTCTGCCCTAGAGATCTGTGGAACTTTCAACTTGAGAGAAATGATTTGGGTATCCGGCAGAAAAAATTTCTAAGCTACAAAGCATTCAAGATATAAATAAAGTGTATTTACAAAAGAGTAAATTTTGTGAAATTTATAAAAGTGTACGTTCCTTTGCATGAAGTAAGATTATCTGAAACTGGAACTTATATTTAAATGGAAGCAGAGCACAAAAGTTTGGAAAATTTGGAGCCAGCCATGTGGTAGAAAATAAAACCTCATTTTCTAGGGAGAAATTCAAGCCTGCTGTAGACATTTGCATAAGTAAAGAGGAACTGAATGTTAATAGCCAAAAAAATGGGGAAAATGCCTCCAGGGCATTTCACAGACCTTCACAGCAGCCCCTTCCATCACAGGCCCAAAAGTCTAGCAGGGAAAAATAGTTTCATGGGCCAGGCCCAGGGCCCAGCTGTTCTGTGCAGCCTTAGGACATGGCACCCCGCATCCTCGTTGCTCCAGCTCCAACCATGGCTAAAAGGGGCCAAGGTACAGCTCAGGGCATGGTTTCAGAGAGGGTAAGCTGCAAGCCTTCGTGGCTTCCATGGGTGTTGGGCCTATGGTTGCACAGAAGGCAAGAGGTGAGGTTTGGTAACCTATTCCTAGATTTCAGAGGATGTATGGACATGCCTGGATGTCCAGGCAGATGTCTGCTGCTGGGTCAGAGCCTTCATGGAGAACTTCTACTAGAGAAGTGTGGAGGGAAAATGTGTGGTTGCAGCCCCCAGATGTGAGAAGAGGGCCATTGTCTTTCAGACACTAGAATGGCAGATCCACTGACAGCTTTTACCGTGTGCCTGGAAGACGCAGGCACTCAACACCAGCCTGTGAAAAAAGTTGAGAGGGCTGTACCCTGCAGAGCTACAGAGATAGAGTGCCCAAGGTCTTGGGAGCCCACCTCCTGCATCAGCATGCCCTGGATATGAGACATGGAGCCAAAGGAGATTATTTTGGAGCTTTAAGATTAATGATTATCCTTCTTGGTTTCAGACTTGCATGGAGATGGTAGCCCCTTTGTTTTGGCCAGTCGCTCCCATTTCGAATGAGAGTGTTTACCCAGTGCCTATACCCCTATTGTATCTTGGAAGTAACTAACTTGTTTTTTTTAATTTTTTTTTATTTTTTATTTTACATACTCATAGGTTGTAGGGACTTGCCTTGTCTCAGATGAGACTTTGGACTGTGGACTTTTGAGTTAATGCTGAAATGAGTTAAGACTTGGGGGCTATTGAGAAGGGGTAGTTGTATTTTGCAATGTGAGAAGAACATGATATTTAGGAGAGGCTAGGGGAAGAATGATATGGTTTGGATTTGTGTGCCTGCTCAAATCTAATGTCAAATTGGAGGAGGGGCCTGGTGGGACGTGACTGAATCATGGGAGCGGATTTCCCCTTTGCTGTTCTTGTGACAGTGAAAGAGTTCTCATGAGATTTGATGGCTTAAAAGAGTGTGGCACTTCCCCCTTTGCTCTCTCTCTCTCCTTTTGCCATGTGAAGAAGGTGCTTGCTACCCCTTAACCTTCTGCCATGATTGTAAGTTTCCTGAGGCCTCCTGGTCATGATTCCTGTTAAGCTGCAGAACTGTGAGTCAGTTAAACCTCTTTTCTTCATAAAGTATCCAGTCTCAGGTAGTTTTTATAGCAATGTGATGACAGACTAATACACTGCAGGAATCTCTGACCTTATCCCTGAGAATTTATAATCTTAACATGGTGAAAGGCCAAAATAATTACTCTATGTGACACTGAAAACTACCTTTTTAGCAAGCCAATTTCATCTGGATCTAACCTCTGTTTTCTTACGGTTTTTATTGTCATACCCAAACCATCATGTTACACAGTCTCTAGGAAATGTGCAGTGACTAGGCAGCACACACGGGTATGCACATTGCAGCTCTGTGTCCACACTCAGTACGGAGCACAGTGGATGCACACTGTGAAATGATCCAGAGGAGCCTAAAATACTAAACTACCTGCCAGTTACCAGTGGTCTGTCTATGTGGTCAAAAAACAAGTGCTGTAAAAGCAAACCAAGTTCTAATAGAAGGTACATGCTAAGGGTGTGACCTGGATGCCCTTGGTGGGCATCTCAGGACCCTCGTTCAAACATCCATATTAATTATGTCATCTTAGTTGATTTTTGAGGTAACACATAATCTATCATTTAAGGTAGTGCCTGGCATTTAGTATGGTTGATCAAATACTAATTCATACGCTTCAAGAGCCGAGATCGCACCACTGCACTCCAGCCTGGGTGACAGAGTGAGACTCCATCTCAAAAAAAAAGAAAAACAGAAAAAAAAAAAAAAGAATTTATCTCTTATTGGACTTTGGACATAGACATTATATGTGCATTTAATCTCACTCTAATATACCTATTTTTTCTTATATCAATACTGTAATAACTCAACTTTCACTAATGATATTAGGTTTTTCAGTTTTCTCAATTACAGTATTGGTTGGGTTTATTTAACCTCATACTTCAAAGTAGAATCATGATATATTTCTTTCAAAAAAATCTCAAGTCCTGCAATAGTTGATGAATAGCTGTTTTGGGGGGCAGACAGGGGAGTGTTTAAAATATCTTAATCAAATAGGAATAAGGTTTGTCCTGTGTTTGAGATAGCAGAAACAATTTGAAGCTGTGGTAGTTATCATGACGAAGACTGGGAATTCAGTCTCCTGTAAGGCAGCTCGTAATTAAAACGAACATAGGGAATGCATAGTATTTAAGGTAAGAGCTGTTCAAATACGTGGTCTCTGAGGTAGAGTTGGCAAATGAGGTGAGAAGCAGACTCTAAAATCTTGCTTTAAGCAGCATTTTCTCGCTTATTAATCTGACAGCTTTTTCTGCTGCTCTCAAGCTAACTACAGCAGTTCTAATCACAGAGAGAGCATGTCAAATTGCTCTGAACTCAAGCCCATCAAAAGTGGAATGCCTTCAGGATTTAAAGAACCTTGAGGGGTCAAAGCTCTTACTCCCTATTTACTATGTCGTATGCCATCAACTTTGGTGAATATAGACAAGGAATTAAAATACTCATATGCCTGTCTTCTGTTTTGCATTATCTATTTTACCTATTTTATAAAGTTGTACAAAATTGTGTCTCCTTTCACTGGAGATTTTCTCTTATTGTTTAAGTGCTGCAAATTTTGATACTGTCATGAATAGAATATGCTGTGTTTAAATGCGCCGTTATAGGAAAACAAGCACTAATCATACCCCTACTTGAATCTTCAATTTGTTTATTTTCCAAATTATTTTTCCCATGAATATTTTCCTATCCAATGAGTCCTAAAGTGACACAGAGGATACAAGCAGTACTTGCATTGCACTATACACTGTTTAATTGAAACAGATGTATATCAGAACCCTATCATCACTTTGCACAGTTCATGGTAAACGAACACAAGAAATATCTCTGAAATCTAGGTCTATGATTCTTTTATTGCATTCATATTATGAAAATAGTGTTGGGTGTCACATATATTTTAATCTATTACTTTTTATTTACTTGTTTTAATGATTCTCATTAAATCTCTCACTCTTTGATCTGTCACCTTTCAATAGCATCTCTTTCTCCTCTGTCTCCTCATCAATTGTCAACAGCTGAGCTGAGCTGGAGACAGTTGAGCTGCCAGATGTACAGTGTTTAATTAAGAGAAGTAAAAATGAAAGTAATAGTCAAGCCTTTAATCACTTAATTGTGATTGTATAAGGGAACAATGAAACAAGAGAAAGCATCAGCTCTCTTAGTGTTCCAGTTTCCCCCCATGGAACAGCAGCAGGCGGGCATTGCTAGTGGATTAGGGCAGATGTGGGGGGCTTTTCAGTGCACAGAGAGCCTCAGACAGAAGGCTCTGCTCTTCTATTGACTTGAAGGTGGTGTCAAGGGAAAAGAGAGAGGAAGGGCTTAAGCCTGAAAAAGTACTGAGTACTGAGTCAAAGAGAGGAAAAGCATTTCCAAGGTCCCCACTAAGGAGAAGTCTTGGCAGAAACACTTTAGAGAATACCTTAGTTCATTTGGACTGCCATAACAAAATACCATAGACTGGGTAGATTATAAACAACAGAAATTTATTACTCACAGTTCTGGAGGCTGGAAAGTCCAAGATCAAGGCACCAAAAGATGTAGTGTCTGCTGAGGCCTCGCTTTCTGTTTCATAGCTGACATCTTTTCACCAGGTCCTCACACAGCAGAAGGGATGAGACAGCTCTCTAGTCTCTCTTTCATAAGGTCGCTAATTCCATTCATGAGCGCTCCACCCTCATGACCCAATGGTACATAAATGTTATGTCCATAACATAGGCTGACAATTGATTCTAGACTTTGACCTTAATCATTTTTCTGTGGCCTTCATCATAATTTAATGCCTGTGGGAAAAATGTAAAGTTAAATAATGTTATTAATGTAATTAATAATGTATAATTGTGGGTATATGTGTATACACACACCCCAATTTTTACTCTCCACTTAAATGACACATCTTACTAACACTAGCATGGGCTAGATTTAAAAAAATAGATGTCTTTTGACAATTCGGAGTTTAGCCAACATTCAGTATGGGAGCCTTCCTAGCCTTCCTTCTGTTGTCATAGAATGGGGCTATGGTTCCATTACTTTATTTTGAACCACACACTACTGTTTTTTAAAAAACAGAAAGTAACCCAATCAATGCCAGTTTTCAATACCAATGGTAGTCACTGAATAAAGTGGGTAAAGGAGGCAAAGAGATTTGACACAAGTTTAATTATTCCTGTGGTATGGCTTCATAATTGTATTGGATGTTATAGTAAACAAAACTCATAAAGATCACTTTATCAACCACCATGGTAAGTGTTATTCACCAAAATACAATAAGTAGTTCTAGTTATGCAAATAGGTACTTGTAGCATGAAAGAAAGGTCCCAGTGACATCATCACTCATGGATTTTAAACAGGTGTTTTATTTCAAACAATTTAGATGGAAGTGAAAGTGATATGCCCTAGAAAAATTGTTAAATGATTCAAAAAGTGACCTTATTCGTAACAAAGATGCTGAAACCGAATATATATGTGTATATAAACATACATATCTAAATTGAATTATCTTTTTTCATAAAATGTAACTTAAAAAGTTTTATTTCTAAAAATAAAATATAGTGTCATATGTAGTATGTCATTTTAAGTGTGTATTCTTAAATTTAAAAATTAAAGGCAAGTCACAATTCAACTATACATATTATATAAATGTTATATATTAAAAGTGATAAAAATATGGGAGATTTTCTTTTATTCAGAGTTGTCTCATGTATTTCATGGTGATTGAAAAAAAAAAACTTCAGCCATATTAAATTTAAAAGAGTTTCATTGAGCAATGAACAATTCATAAATTTGGCAGCCTCCCAAACCAGAGTATGCTCAGAGATGCCAGCATAGCCACATGGTAAAAGAAGATTTATGAACAGAAAAAGGAAAGTGATGTATAGAAAATGCAAGTGAGGTACAGAAAAAGCCAGATTGGTTACAGGTTGGTATTTGCCTGATTTGAACATGGTTCGAACAGTTGGTTACATTTGATTAAACAAAACTCGGGGCTTGGTACAAGTGTGGGCTACAGTCTGTTTACACATCTACTTGTTATATTTCAGGATGTACAGAGAAACCTTTAGTCCAAACTTCAAATATGAGAGGAGGCAGCTTTAGGCTAAACTTGATTTAACAATGTTATATATCATGTTACCATTTCTGTATAGAACACTATACTTTGAGCCTGATTTGAAACCACTAAGCGAAATGACAAAGATCCCACTATGTTAAAGAAAACCTTAAAGCTCCATTTTATTAAAATAGATGCAATACGCTTATCAATTTTATTCTTAGAGGAAAGTGTTCAATCACAAAAGCAATGCCTATTTAGAACACGTTTTGAATTTGTTAAGAAAAGGCACCTTAGTTTGTACAAAGTGATACTAACTCATTTATTCATGTCCTTGTGTCTCTGGCACAAGAGATAAAACCTTGTTAGTGTTATTTATACAAGTTTTGAAATAAAGAAGAAAAAGGAATCCCTGTTGCTATATTTTTTTCTGCTTTCCTACTTTTGGCTGAGCCTCCTGTAAATAAATTACCTTATGTAATGCCTTATGCAAACAGATTTAAAGAGTTCTTTTTAACTTTTGATATTACAGGTAAGAACTTTTATAGGACATTTTGTTTTTAATCCCTTCCTGTATCTTCTTGCATGATTTTTCTCGGCACAGGATCTTCACTGATATCTATTGTCTGGCCAGGAGGTCCAGCAGAACCACTAGCTTCTTGGGAGGCTGATGTTATTGAAGCTGCTTTTCCAATTGCCAGCAAATGATATAAATTATAGGAGACTGGAAAGGTCACCTCTGGAACAGTCCTACTTAAATTAGCTCAAATGATCACTAACCTGCAGCTAGAGAGAGAATCTGAAGCCCAGGCCGCAGGAGTGGTCGTGCCAGCCGACAGCGGGCTGGTGCCTCGACCCCACGTTAGTTTTCATCTGGAAAACAAGATCAAAGCACAATTGTGGCTGAAACTCACTTAGATATACTTTTGAAATGTAAAGATTTTTTTTTCCTGATGTCTTGTTTCTTTAAAAGATATAACTATCTGTTTTTTGGTCACTTCAGTATGTCTATATTTTACATAAAATATATTTGGTTACATTAAATCTCTTATTTCAAAATAGGACTTAAATTTATTACATACATAATATGTATACATATATATTCATAAATGTAGAATGTAGTAGAAATATAAAGAGTCTGTATCACTCCATTGTAGTTTCCTTGAATATTATTTGCTAAAACACAAGTGTAAATGCAATGACTTTCCGTTTAATTTATAATACCTAGGACCATACAGAATCACTTTGAGTTTGTTTCTGAGTCAAGCTGCTTGGCTGTAAAGTCCAACTCTCCTTGGGCAAATTGCTTAACCTCTCAGTATCCACACTGACACAAATATAAAAAGAGCATAATAATACTTAGCTCAGAGGTACCTAACAGCCAGTACAGCCAACTGCCCTTGCTACTCTGTTTGATGTGGTCCTGTGAGCTTCCTGCTAGGCAGGATATCAACTCTTTAATTGCTAGAACATACTGAGGTACAGGGAAATGCACGGAAGAAGCTGGTATGGCCAGGGTAGAAGTGGAGTGTATAGTGGAACAAAAGTATTTCAAAAGTTTATTACCAGGTGTGAGCCGTATGGAGCATACTTGCAAAATATTGGCCTTGTTTGTGAGCATAAATTAAGTTAGTATGCAGTTAATATGCATTACACTTTAGATAGCACCAGGCATATAATTTTTCAGAAAACTCTTTTAGAACTATATGCTGAAAATGTTACAATATGAAGACTTAGAGGCCTGAAAGATACATTGGGAAATTAATGTGGGAGGTTTTGCTGTGTCTGAAGAAGCCCCTAGTGTTCCACAGGCATTTAAATTTTATCCAGTTGTTTAGAAGAGATTACAAGACTACAAATTCCTTCTAAAAAGATGGGTTGATGGAGACATGGCCATTAAATAACATTTCTAAAGAAGTTGCAAAAACTGAAATAAGATGTACATACACCAAACCCCAAAATAAATAATGTTGATTAAGTTTGTAATGATGTCTTTATTAGTAGTAAGTTCAGAGCAAGTCAGCAATTTGGTAGTTTATGAAATGCAATGGTTGTTGTCTTTATTCATGTTTAACAGAGAAAAGCAACAGTGTAATACAGAAAAGTCTTTGGACTTCTTTGCACTGCTCATCTGATTAGATTGGGCCACCTCATGCTAATCCACTTTTTGATTAATTTAAAGTCAACTGATTAGGGATATGAATTACATCTGCAACATCCCTTCACCTTTGCTATGCAATGTTGTTAAAGGGAGAATGGTTACCCCATCATATTCACAGATTTTGCTCTCCCCTCAGGGGAAGTAATTATACACAGTGAGTAGTACACCAGAGGGCAGGATTCTTGAGTCCATGTTAGAATCCTGCCCATCCCAAGAGTGTTTAGATAATCCAGAAATTAGTGACATATTATGAACATAATTGCTGAAAATTATTTATCATCCCTCCAAGTGGTATTATTCAATGACTATTTAGAGAAACGTACGTTTTTATGTAGAATGATATGTTCAAGTTATTTAACCTACACAAATATTTCATGCAAAATGTGACTTTTAAAATATTAATTAGAATTTTGGTTCTATAATCTTTGCTCTTATTTGACATAGCCATATTTTGTGGACTAAAGAAGTTCGTTGATAATAATTATAAAAGTAGACAATGAGAGAAATAAAAAGTGAATTATGTGTTCCAGAGAAACAGAGGATACTTGTCAAAATTTATTATACTTACAAGAAAATTGTCCATCTTTATAACAAACATTTTAAAAATCTGTTCAGAACATCTATCTGAACAATAAGGTTTGGGCCCTTTCTACAGCAAAATAGTCACAGAGAGCAAAAAAAATGCTTTTGGAAAACATAAGAAGAAAACATCTTTCTTTTTTTGCATTTGTTTGATGGAAAGTTTATTTCTGGTCTAAGGCAATGTTTAATTTAACCTTAATATATTTATATGAAAAATCTCCCACGTAATGTTGAAGCTTAAATTATTATGGATTACAACTATATGTTTTCAAAATGAACATTTAATAAAATAATTAAATGCCCTGTCATGTTTTCAAAAACTAAAGCTGAATTTCCAACAGTATTTCTATTTCCAAAGCTCAGCATTACTATATTCAAAATAAATTTTATTAACTGATATTTGATCCACATTTTACATCACTTTTTTGCTGTCATGGGACAACAGCATAAGACACAGCAGAAGCACTGTTCTTTGAAAACTGCAATGGTATGTTATTTGTATTGACTTAGATTTCTGTAACTATTGGGACATTTATGATTGCTGCTCTTATTGAAATTTTGCTCTGAATTTTTCCTTTTCAGAGACAAGAAACCTCAAGGTTTCCTCTAGGGCAGAAACAAAAACAATAGTCATATCTTCTTAGGAAAATATATGTAAAATTGCCTAGTTGCCTAGCCTACCGTATGCATAAACCTCATGTTTGTGAAATTGTGTTGATCAGATAGCATTAAGAGTTGGGCTGCTTTTGGATAAATATTGGTAAAACATATAAGGCTTTAAATAATTATTGTCTACTACTTTGTATTATACAGGAATATTAATACTACTAACATATGCAACATTTTAAATTAAAAATTTATAAAATGTTCAAATTCTCTAGAGTTGATTAGTCTAGGTTTTTTAACTCAAACCATGATGTACCATCATGGTGGCAAATTGGAAAGAATATTTTCTTCTCTACAGTCAGAGAGAATAGGTTTCAATTCAGGCTCTCTCATTAATTAGGTGAACCTAGGTCAATACATGTTTTAAACTCTATGAGTTTCAGATGTCTTACGTGATAAAATAAAGTTTTGATAATTAACTAACAGACAAATTAACCAAGTTAATCAGGTTTTGTTTTTTTTTGTACCATAAATGCGGTAACTACCTGGAACATTTTTCCTTTCTTACCTCATCTCATTTTTCTGACTAACTCCAATTAGTCATAATTCAGCTGTCAGTTTAGTTATCAACTCTTGTGGAAAACCTTCCACGGCATTACCTTCACCTCATCCCTTCTTAGACAGATTAGCTGCCTCTGCTCTTTGCCCTTCGATTAGTCTTTCCTATAATCATAGCCCTATCATTGCCTTTCTCTTCCTGTTCCATCTCTAGCTCCTAGAAGGCTGTCAGGCAATGAAGACATACACTTATGTAAATTGCAATTATATATTGTATTTAGTCCTAACAGTACGACCCAGTCCACTGATAATCTTAGTGAGTTTAAGTGATTTTTCTGGATTGTTTATTTGAATGTTAATCCCATGAAGCTGAAGCCTTTGTATATTTGTGTAATGTTAAATATACTTGATAAAAAGGTAGGTACACAATAATTATTTTTGAAAAATTAATTAACAATAAATAGCAACAATAGAGTACTTACAGAGTGCCCAGCATATAATTATTTACAAATATTAATGCCTTCAAACATTCCCCTACGTCTCACATATCAGAAGTCAAATTGTTTTTTGTAATTGACTTTGTACTTGAGCCATTGATACCTTGGATTTATAAACACCACATGTACAAAAAGGACTGACTAAAAATAAAATGCTCTATTTAACTGGTAACGTAAATAAATCACTGTCCCACCTTTAGATAGCATAGATCTTGACACAGATCTACGTGAGACAGAAATCGGAGAAGCTAAACGAGGGATCTAACTTGCAAGATGGATACAGATAAACATTCGCACACACACATTTTAGGAAGGAGATCTAAATTGCACAAAAGCACAGAAAAATTGTAATAAAGTTAAAATAATTACATAAATATAAATAACACATATAGGTAAAACCTTAAAAATATAATAACAGAAATGATACCACTGATTTTATGTTAGAGAAGACAATAAAATGGTTTTAAATGGATCTGTAGTGAAATTACATAAGCATACCATTTCTAAAGAAATACATAGTCAATGAAATAAATATTATATGATTGTGATTACTTGCATATCCCCTTTTGTGAAAAATAAAGCTATCTGATTTCAAAATTGAATTGCTAACGTACCTATAATTTTGTATGTGTTCATATTAGAAATTAACACAATAAAATTAATAACAACACATTCACAGATTCATTAAAGTACCTTTCAGAATGATGTTATTTGTACTTATTTTCAAGTTTTTTGTTTCATATGTAGTGTAAGCTCTGCATGTGGAAAACATTTTTAAGTGTAACTCATGGGAACAGTCTTATTCTAGGATCCTTTATGGGAAACTATTGTTAATATACATAACATGAGAATGGCCTAGTTTCCAGGAGTTTCTCAAAACTCCAGATAAATATACATTGGATCTTAGCCTAAAATCCTTGGCAACTTTTATTGCCCAGGGCTTACAGATACAGTTGCTTGGATGAATGAAATACTTTCAATAGTAATTATCGTGAATGGAACAAATAGTTCCATAAAGAGTTGGACACAATTTCTATTCTATTATAGAACAGAGTTTTAACTGAACCAAAAAATAAACAAACATCTTCAAAGGTTTATTATGTCGGTGCTAATATCGTCACTCTAAAATGGTTCCTCCATTTCAAATAATTGCTCTATTTTTATCTTAACTTGATTTTTCATATTCTGCACAAGAAAACATTTCTTGGTTTGGCAATCTGTTACCTGAATTTAAACATTATTTTTTTCCTCTTATCTTGACTTAAAAAGGAGAATAATGTTGAGGAAGAAAAATCTTAATACTCTTTACAGAGAACATGTCAAATATATTCTAAAACAATGGCAACTTTGAAGAAGGTATGATTTCTATAAGACAGAATGCTATGGTAGAATAATGATGTCCTCTCCAAAATTCATGTTGAAACCTAATTCCCAGTGCAACAATATTAAGTGATACGGCCAATAAGAGGTGATTATGTCTTTACAGCTATGCCCTCATGAATAGGATTAGCATTTTAATAAAAGGGCTGCAGGTAAAAGAGAGTGCTATCTTGTTCTTCCACCTTCTGCCATACAAAGGCACAGCAACAAAGCACCATATTGGAAGTTGAGAGCAGCCCTCACCAATGTCTGTACCGTGATCTTTGCCTTCCTAGCCTCCACAACTGTAAGAAACAATTTTTTATTATTTAGAAATTACCCAGTATGTGATATTTTCTTGTAGCAGGAAAAATAAACTAAAAAACATAGTCATGCATTGCTTAATGATGAGAGTACATGCATTGTTAGGTTATTCCATCATTGTGCAAACATCATAGAGTGCATTTACACCAACTAACATGGTATAGCCTACTACAAACCTAGATTTGTGTGGTATAACCTATTGCTTGTTATATTTAGATGATACAGCCCACTATCCACCTAGATTGTGTGGTGTAACCTATTGCTTATAGGCTACAAACTTGTACAGCATGTTATTGTACTCAATATAGTAAGCAACTATAACACAAATAACTAGGTGATAGGAATTTTTCAGTTCCATCATAATCTTATGAGTATATGCAGTCTGTATTTTACATAAATGTCATTTTGCTGTGTATGACTGTATTTAAATTTCTAGTCCAGTTATAAGACATAAATTAGGACATAAAAGAAGTTTGAATCCTAACTAATATGAAAACTGCAAAGTAAATTCACTTACAGTTTCTAATAAAAAGTGTGTAATTATGATACTATCTTTACATAAAATGCATATTATATAACTTATGTCCTCTATCTTTTTATAATCTTGTACTTTTTAATGATACAATTTTTGTAAACTATTTTAATGTATCTTTGCTTCTCAGTTCTGGGAGGAAGTCAGTGCACCACCAATTAGCTCACTGTAAAATTTTCAATTCATAGAAAATTGCAGGCAATGATCAAGAAAGTGTTCCGTTCCTCCAATTGTTTTGCTTGATCTCAAAGTTATTAACTGGGTCAAAGGTCTAAATGTAATTGGTTGTAATTTAGTGAATAGAATTATATATTTCTTTGCATCAAAGGTTATTATATTGATGTCAAAGATCACTAAACTCTATCCAGAATTAGTTTGATGTGAATCTAAAGAGGGATGCAGTCAAAGAACTTAGGCTAGAGAATAATATTCTGAAATAGGTCAAACCTCTGAAATTCCCTAGCTTTAAAGGAACAAGCTGTGCGCTGCAAAGACAGAAAAAAAAAAGCATTTTAAGTACTTTTTTTTTTTAACACTTAGAAGAGTAGTGAATGCTTGGTAAAGTATTGGCAGATGGTCTCATTACATAAAATGGCTATTAAGGAGTGTCATCACTGATAAAATGCAGTATGCTACCCACATTCAAAGTGGTGAATTACAGAAACACAATTCTGCATTATTGCTGTTCCAATGGTTGTGATGGTTTTACTATAAATTATGCCATTCCTGTGAAGTCATATCTTATATATGAATATTACACAACAGAAAGTTCTAAAGCAAACTCATATCCATTATAGGAAAGAAATACTAAAGCTTTATTCTTGGTTGGTGTACAATATTTCATACATAGAGACAGAATATACGTAGCATAGATGAAGAGTTTTTGGCACCTCCTCTAAATATGATGAAGAAAGGCAGCTCAACTTTAGAATTCAGGCCAAGACTCTCTCCTGTGCTTAAGGAGCCAATTGTTCATGGAGAAGCTTTCCTGTGCCCAGTGGTGTGGAACTGCGTTTTGTAGATATGTTCTAGGAAAAAGTTTTTTATGCTTAAATGACCTCCTTTGCTGATTCAAGAACAAATTAAATTTCAACAAGCCATCTTTTGATTCCGCTTATTTGGATAAACTGAAAATCCAGGGGTACAGCTGTTAAAAAAATTGCTGAGCTAATATTTAGAATGATATTAGCTGAATTCCTCCTACAAGAGTGTAAGCAAGGATATTTCAGAGGCAGGAAGAAAAGATTTTTAGTCCTCCCTAGTGTAAGTTTGCTATCCATATGCCTAGATGCAGCCTGACACTTGGGCTCTAATTTATAAACTGGATGGCAGTTTGTGGACCAACATTATTGTTTGGTCCAGGGAGACATATGGAGCCGAGTGGCATTGGCCTAGCCAGGTGAAGTGAATATCAGTGTCTCATTAGACATTACTTAGAGTTATGTGAAAGAAATAAAGCCTTGGTCAAATAAAAGGGACACATTTTAAATAGTGTTTTTAAAATATGATTAAATGAAAGTTGTAGAGTGTGTGTGTGTTTGTGTGTGTGTACATATGTGCATGTTCAAGCCTCTTTTTAATGTTAGATATAGAACTAAATCTTTGAAACGCTGGCGTAGAGAATTCTAGAGAATAAACTTCTCTAATTTCTCTTCCTCATTAATATTCCATTGATGCTCTCTTAAAGTCATATATGTATCTCTTGAGGCAAGTTATCCAATCTTGATGTGATGCAGTTTCCTCAATTACAAAATAAGTTAGTACTCATAGAGTTGTTATTTGGATTCAATGTGTTAATATCTCCAAAGTGGCTGGCTCATAATAGGCATTATATTACCTTTTCTTAAAAAAAAAATAAAATTTCAAAAACTATAATAAAGAAGATCAGAAAGCTTTCTTCAGAAGATTTAGGAAAACTTGCTGATTTTTCTAGATAGTAATTGTTCTGAATTATGCCAGATTTAAATTTCAAGGAATGTTTTCCTTAGCATATCTGTAATAAGGTCAGATAGAAATGAGTTAATCTATTTTCGTTTAACAAATCTTCACAATATGGAAAATAAAAAGGATAAATATTTATAGCTGTGATCAGAAAATTAGCCTGACTTCTACAATGGCAAAATATAAGATTATCATGCAAAATTTAGATTCTACATATAAAATAGAATAATTTGACCCTTGGGAATAATTTATTCTGCCAGTGATATTAATAATAAAATTTAATTTTATACTGCTTTACTTTCATACGAAAAATATATCAACAATACTTAATGGTTGTTTGTTCCCCTATGGGAATGTAATATTATTAGTCCTTGCCAGAATTTGAGGTAATTGAATCATATTTAAAGTTTGAAGGCTAAGAACTAAAGGAAATATAACTTAAAACTCAATTGAGATGAATAACAAAAATAAAAAAGTCATTGAAATGCATGTGAACCTAAAACCAATGAATTTCACACCGCCCAAATTAGGTTATCTCTCAGGAAACTAACAATTGTTTGTGACATTTTAAAAACCAAATGTTGGAATGAAAAATCCTATAGTAAAAATATGTTTATATATTTAGCCATGTAAAAAGCTTTTAAATATTTTTCTAGTTATTTCTGAACAGACACAAAATTAAGACACATCTGCGAAACAGTATATGGAACTACCTAGAATTCAAATGATGCATTGACCATGTTTAAATTAATGTCAATGATGATTTATGTAGAAGTTTTATTGTTTTCCATTTAAAATTAATTATATGACATTTGTAATATGTACAGCCATTTTTCAAATGTATATGACTAAGGGATATAATACAAAAAAAACAAAACAAATAAAATCCTCAACATGTAAAAAAAAACCTCTTTCTTTCGAAAGGTAACGTGGCATTACACATCACAGATATTTATTGGCTGAAGTGGTTTCCCTTGCCGTGAACTACTTTTGCCTATCTCATGTGAACATCCGGGTGACAATGACATTTAAGTGAGAGTCCATGTGCATTCATTACTGCGTATGAAGAGAAAGGTTACATTTGGTTAAACTAACCTCTTTGTAGTCTCAGTAACAGAAGAACAACTTACACGTCAAAGAGTGAGCTACCCAGCTAGACTGAGAGCTTTTCAATAGACCCTTGAAAAAAAAGAAGAAAGAAGAGGTGATCTAATCCTCTACACCAGTGTGAACCCTAGACTGATCTTAACTATCAACAGTCTTTCTACAGGATAAAATAACTTTATCATTATCATATTTTAAAATATGGAGATCTGGTATTCTGTATAATGATTTACTCTCACATACCTGAAAACAAAATGGTGTTTCTTATTCGGCAGTAGCAAACCTTCACATTGAAAAGATGACTTGACATTCATGGTTGAAAATTCCCACTTCCTCTGTGACAGCTGGATAGCTGAGATCTCATAGTCATGCTACAATGATGGAGGAATGAACAAAACAAACCGAGATCAGAATTACTTCCCTGGTGAAGTACAGGATATAAGCCATTTTCTGCTTGAACTAGCTCTTTGCCCTCTATCCATGAATTCCTATTCATCAATGGAATATTATGAATCAGTATTTGTGTCTGTAAATTTTGTCTTTTACTTTTTTCTTCTCAAGTAGCCTCACACAAAGAAAGGGGTTTACAAATAAATAGTAGGGTTTCCTTAATTGAGATGCTCTAAGTGAAAGTAATTGAGACAAAATAAATTGGAAAAAAAATAGTTTACATGAAGCTGTGGGTTCAAGTGCCAAATCGTGAGTTATGTAACCTTGCTCTTTCATTTTCTTCTTCTGAAAAATGAAGTTAATACCATCTTCCTTACTTGCCTCATAGCATCTGGGTAAGGTAAAAGGTAAAAAGAGACGATACATAGGTGAAAGCGTTTGACAGAGTACAAGCCTATACACATTTCTCATGATCACCATGCCTTTGTCCCTTTTCTGCTTTTCTCTCTCTAATAACCATAGTTCTGTCAGATATATTACATAAACTCCTGAAGTGAATATATAAAAAGTGAATTGTATTTAGAACAACTGTAAGAACATAGGATTAAACAGAATTTCACCGACATCAAAACCTGGGCTCTTTTTCGTTTAAAGGCCATCTAAAGTCTAAAACAATAGCCTCATTATAGAGAAATTCTCAGGATGTATTGGGAACTTAATGGCAGGTACCATGTTTAAAGAAAATACAACTGTAATCCAAAAGTCTAGTATTGATTATTTTACTAGTTTACTTGGATCCCTGTGACATTAAGATAAATTTGGAAATTAAATGAATATAGACTTTAAAAATATTTTAATTGTTCTGATTTTGATTTTAAAGGAAATTCTACAAAATATTCTTTAGAGAGAACTAAGCTATTGCACAGCATGTGGTTTTAGGGGTGTGTTTTAATGGCTGTGTGTTTACGTGTATGTGTGTGTTTAAAAGTGACAACCTGTTTTGAATTATTGGCATGTGTGGGTATGGCTAGGATAAAAATGGTAAAGCAAAACAGGCTCTCTACACTATATGAATCTAAAACTTCCTTAATTTGTGGCCTCAATTTTTTCCCCTAGAATAGTTTGTTGAGATTTTACTACTCTTCCCAGAATAAACTTTAAATGGTAAGTACTAGTGAATTAACTGTAGAGTTGAAGAAGTGATAAATGTGAACAGAATTTCCCAAGTAGGATTGGCAGATTTAAAAATAATAAATAAGCAAACAAATAAATAATACAATTCAGGCTATCTACTAAATTCAAATTTCAGGTAAGAAACAAATATTTTTGCCCCATGTAATATTTGGGACATACATATACTAAAAACAAACTTATTTTTTCCCTGAGCTTTAATTTTCAAATATCGATATTTTATGCTGTGTAATAAATTACCACAACTTTAGCATCTTAAATCAATATCCATGTTTTGTTCGATCATTTCCTGTAAGTCCAACACGAGGGCATTTCTGATCAACATCTGGGTTCTCTGCTCAGGGTCTGCAATACTTGAAATGAAGGTATCAGCTGGGCTGTGTTCTTATCTGGAAGCCAGACTAGAGAAGGATCCATTTCTCCAGCCTGGTGAGTGAATTTATTTTGTTTGGTTGTATAGTTCACGGTAGCTTGCTTCTTAGAAGCCAGCTGTGGAAAGAAAGAGTTTCTGCTGCTTTGAGTCTCCGCCTTCAGGGAAGACCTAGTTTTTTGTTTGTTTGTTTGCTTTAAAGGCAAAGTATAATTTGGTTAGTCATACCTAGAATAGTTTCCCTTTGTATTAATTGAATGGCAATCAATTGGGGACCTTAATAACATCAACAAAATATCTCATTTTTACCATATAAGAAAGCATAATCGCTATGATGTCTCATCACCTTTACCATATTCTCTTGAGTAGAAGCATGTCACAGGATCAAGAGGATGGGCTTACACAAGGATGTGTCTCATTTTGGGTCACCTTAAAGGTTTCAACTACATTTATTTAGCAAGTCTATCCCAGAAAGTATGTGTGTTTTAATTATGTATGATTACCATAATTGGAGATATCAAATCTATACAAATTAGTTTTTAAGTGATATGTATACAGGATAACACAAGGGTCAAGAATTTTAGACAATGAATATTATATAGTTTCTAACAGCTGTTTCTATGTTCGTGTTTTCAAGATTTATCAAATTATGCCCAAGTTGGCAGAAATTGGAAAAAAATAGCATCACATTAATTTGAGAGTGATACAGTGTTAGAATTACAATCATCATCACTTGCTTATTAATTGTATAAACATATATTGAGTTTCACTATGTTAAAGAATTACGTTAAGTCCCAGCATTATAGAGGTGGGCAATATCCCACTGCTCCCCTCAAAGAATCTAAAGTTGAGAGAAAGAAAGATACATATATTCAGATAACCCTAAATTATTAAACAGAAAATAGCTGATTGAAGCCTTTTTCACCGCAATTTTAGTTTGTTAAAAAATGTCATGAGAGAGTTCAACTAGCAAATAAGTTTTAGACAAGTCAGGAAGTTGCATCCTATAATCATTTTTTGAAGATACGTAATGCACACATTAATATGTTGTGGGGGAGTTCAACTAGCAAATAAGTTTTAGACAAATCAGGGTGTCAGGAAGTTACATCCCATAATCATTCTTGAAGATGTGTAATACACACATTAATATGGAAAGTCTTTGACGTACTGTTTATAAGGTGCTTAACTTTGCATAACCTAGTATTTCACAATAATTTCAGACTGTCAAAAGACATTTTTATGTAACACATAGTAACATATAGAACCACAGTTCTACTAGATACCCTCTGAATATGCTGTAGTAAAAAGGTGATGTTGAGAGGGAAGAGGCTACTGGCATGTTAGGTTTAAAATGATGCATTACAGTAATTGAGCACCTATATTTGGATTCACCATCTAAACATTTGCCCAGCATCATATCTTGGAGTTTTTCTATATTCCTCCTTTTTACTTTGCCCGGCTCTTGTTACGTAGTCAGCTCTGTCCACTCCACTTCCTAAATAAGTCAATGGATCAAGTGTGTCTTATTGGCCATTGTAGCAGCCCTGAAGGACAAGCTTCTTGGAGACAGGTTGTCAGGAAAGGTCATTTCTGATAGGTTGTCAAAAATATTTTCAGTGACAGATATGTGTTGTCTCTGAAACTGTATGTGGATATCAGTGAAAGAAGAGGAGAGGTGTCATGTCAGCACAGGTATGTAAAAGCATTCTTTATTCTTTCATTTAACTGTCAATAATTTTACAGCTGTTTTGCAAACTCTCATAGCAGTGCACCTGTACAGAAAATGAATGAATTCCATTTACATATTTAAGCAATTAAAAGTGTTAAATCTCACTAATTGTGCATAATTACAATTCAGTAATTATATCAGACAAACCATACTTTACAATTTAAATGACGACTCTATAATTCATTACTATTCTGTGTGACTCAGCAAAAGATAGCATTTTTAGGATCCCATCTTTAAAAATATTTGATGTCAATATTTTTCTATGGGCTTGGTTGAAAACATAAACTTCTTATTTGCAATGCAGCTCAGGCAGGAGAATATTTGTGCACTGTTTCTTAGTCACTGGCTATGACCACTGCTTGCAGGACCTGTCATCATGCAGGCTTTTGCCTCTGCCCCAAGGACTTCATGACATTTTTGCACAAATCGAGCTTTCCCTATTCAGTAGCTTACACGCTACTATATATTTCTTTTTCTTTCCCTGCTGTCACTTCTCAGCCATCAGCAATGTCTCACACTGCTTCAACTTGCCAAATAATGGGGTTTTGTGATGTTTTCTCTGCCTGACTTGTTTGTGATCACCCTTCTTCAACTTATCAGTCAGTATGTGGTTTGACTTCCTGTCATTCACCCTCTTTTACAGACTAGCCCCATAAAGCTAAATTGTAATGCCTGTGACTCCATTGCCACTGGGCTCACAGTGTATCACAACCGAGGAATTGTCTGAGAATTTTATTTTAAGTAGAAAGTATGAGCTGGAAGCCAGAGGACAATATGCTATCTGTTAGTGTGCCAAAGATGTGCTCACTTTCCTCATTAGCCTCTCTAGCTCATCTCTGCCTGCATCATTTGATTGGCATTTTGCTAAACTAATACACTTTCATGATCAATTTTCGCTGAGAATTTTCAACTTCCTATCTTGGCTGAAATCGGATCTTCTTGATATGATCCAGGATTGCTTCAAGGCAGATTAACAATCTAAAGCATTCCTAACATTGTGCATTTTCTAATGGACATTGCTGGACAATGATGCTTGCAGAAACTTCTTAAGGAATTTGGCAATAACACAGGCTGCTGAAGAAAAAGAAGTTTATAAAGGACTACAATAATTTGAAACCAGTCAAAGAAATAGCAGGTTGTCCACTCATCAGTGGTGACTATGTTTCAAATTGATTCTGTGGTAACCTGAGAAAAAACAGATGTTTGTTTTAGAAAGTAAACTAGTGCTGATTGCCAAGGTCTGATTCCACAGGCAAAGCTGAGGATCTCATTATTTATTCCCAAATAATAAATAAAATGTGTTTATATGGAAATGTTAGATATCATGATATTAACCGTCTGGATCTATCTGTTCTGAGATTTGTGTAAAATCCTGTCAAACCACTCAGAATTTTGTATTGCTTTCATCTTTTTTCTTAATTTTATAAAAATATCTTTCTACTTTGTATGATTGGCAAAATAATAAGTACTTATCTTGAAAAGGGGGCAACAGAGAACACAAAATATAGAAAATAAATCACTCAAAATGTTATTTACACAAAGACAATTATTATTTATATTTTGCCATTTTATTCCAGATTTTCTATATCTATATCTGTGAGTAATATAGAGAAGTAGCTCCTGCTGTCATTATTTGCAGGAAGACCATATTCTTATTTTCCTGTGAGCTTTCCCAAGTATCTTACAGAAGCTATATGTGTTTTTTGTTTTGTTTTGTTTTGTTTTTTGAGAAAGGCTTTCACTGTCTATCACTAACTCAGAAAAGACCTACTAGCATTTCAAGGATAGATTCCTGTTGCTTTGTTAGAAGGTACATTTTTGAAGTCACAAAAACAGGAACCTAAATTCAGTGGTACTTGTGATTAGTTCCCTCACTGTGTTTTCTCCCTTTCTTGGCATGTGTATTTTAATCTTTGTTTGAAGAATGCTCATGCCACTAAATATCCATATTATCATTTAGAAAACTCATCTTGCTATTGTCTTGAGACCCTATAAAGAAACCTTTGCACAGTCAAAGTTGTTCATGCCAGCTTCCTATTTTGAAGCAAGTTGATCTCAATATAGCAAGTGGAAGTTTTAAGTTGTAATAAAAGACAAAAATGTCAACATGAGACATTCCTATCAGACAACATAAATAACTTAATCTCTAAAAATGACCTAAAGGCATACAAATGACCAGGTTTCATATCAATTTCTGTGTGTAAAGGTAGAATGTTTGTATTCCTACCATGATGAGATCATATATTGACAGCTGCAACTACCATTGCTGCTAGGATTAGGTCAATCGCATGGTTTCGCCTTTAGTGTGTTGAGGCGAATACAACTTGGTATGATGTGGCTTTACTGTTCGGACTTATCCTTTTTTGATATAACACATTTCCTTTTTCACAGTGTTTTTCTATAGCCATGGTTACCACTGCATCACTCTAAGAGATCTCTACATTAGTTTCATTCCTAAAAGGTATTCCGGAAATGCCAGAAACTCAATATTAACTAAGTTTACAAAAATAAATAATACAATGAACAAATAAATTTAGAAATAAACTCACATTCTGCAAAGTTGCACAGATGTCTTAACTGGAGACTTTAATATGCAAATGTGCTTTCTGAATTTCTATGATTTCCCAAACGTATTTGCCTATAAATGCTTTATTGGAGGCATCTTGTGGACTATTTGTTCCTTGGAATGTCTTTGTAAAATCCTGTCCTAGCTAATTAACTGTAGATCCTCTGGGTCCTCTTCTTAATCTAGTCAGTGATTATAATTTTCATTGAAAAACATAGGATCAGCTTAAGATCAGCTCCTTGTGGGCACCGAGAGTTGGTACCCGAATTCTGGTGGGTTTTTTTTTGTTTTTCTGTTTAAAGCAGAGAGTTTCCAGTGATGGTCAGTTTTTGCTTTGACCAACATGGAGTTAAATCCAGAATTCTGGTTTTTGTTTCCCTATTTACAGCAGAGAGTTTCTAGTGATGGTCGGTTTCTGCTTTGGCCAATAGGATGTCTATGATCTGGTACTAGGTAAGGTGGTTGTAATCTTATTCAGTGTTTGAGTTTACACCTATTTCCAACCATAGAAGCAAGTACCCTCTCAAAGGGACTATTTGTCCATGTCTAGGATAATCTCTTATTAATTTTCACTTGCTTTTGTTAGGCAATGGAAAGTTTTTGTTGAGTTCATTGTATAAGCATGTTATAAACTATGATGTAGTAACAACCCTACTCTTATCTACTTAACACTACAGAAGTTTTTTTGTGTGTGCATATTTAGTGAGGATCCCTATAATATTCCTGGGCTATATTGATTCATGTATCAAATCGATGATTCCAAATGGCTCTTGAACATGAGGCCTCCATGTTAATAGCTAACAGGAAGAGATAATCTAAAGAATGGTATAGGGGATGCACTCTGCCTATGCCAACAAAGTTCTTCAAATGACCTGCATGAAAACTAAGAATGTGTAAGTTTAGTTTAGAATCTATGCAGTAGATAAGGTGGTCCCCTGCTCTGCTCTTTTGTGATTAGCTGCTCATTCATAGTTTGATGAATCCCTTCTGATATCAGATCCTAAAAATAACTAATTTCTGACAGTAAAACTTACCAGTGTTTATCCTAATTTATTTTCTCACATTTGCAGACTGTATTTTTCACTTGACTATGTTCAATTTCTATTTTGTGAAATCTACTGAATCCATCGTGCCATAGTCCCCTGGGTATGAAGAATACAGAAAGGGCTTCTTTGGGAAAGGAGGGCCAATTCTACTTTCAGTTTCCAGCAGGGAAAATAGTCGTGATTAGAAGCACATATAAATAAATCTGCAAGGCACCATTAGACAGTGTGACTGAGTATATTCTACAGCATATACTGCTTTAGTCAACAGAGAGGCTTAGCTTACCACAAAATTAAGTGGAGAAGCAAGTTGGTCTTTGGTTCTCTTCCATACTCACTCTTGACTATCTTCCTCTGCCCACTCCCTATGATAAAATATCCTCATGAGGTGAGTTAGAAGCCAGGTTTAAAGCAACATTTAAGGCATTATTGCCAGAAGAGTTGCTTATGCTCCAATAAAGAAAGGGAAATGAAGAGTGAGTATAACTCTAAAACTAAAGAGTAGTTTCTCTTTCTGTCAAGGCTGATAGAGGTCAACTGACATCCGTTTTAATCCCTATTTGTTGTGCAGTTTGGAATTAGTCACACATACTTTAAGTTTCCCTTTCGTAAAAAAAGAATTTGGATCTTATTATCTTAAAATTCTCCTTAGTTCAAAAAAAAAGTAGTAACATTTCTTAGCATCTTTATTTTCAGTAAATCCAGTAGAAATTTCATTTTCTATTCAGTCTTTCTAATTTAATTGTCACTTAGTAGCATCTTCTGCTTAACAATAGTATTGATAAAATATGATGTGATGGAACAATGCAGAATAATAATACAGGCTTCAAAGTTAGAATTCTAGTTTAAATCCCAGGTTAACAGCTGGCTAGTGTGTATCACTTGGCATGTTATTTAACTCCTAAGTCTCAATTAATAACTTCTTAAATGATGGCTTAGTGAGGCAAATGCTTGTACAATCCTAGGTGTGTAATGTACACAAAACTACTATAATGAATGATGTTGTCTTTTCTGTTTTTAAAATGATATTTGGACACTTATCCTAATAACAATTGTCAAAATGTGAGGGCAATTTGTAGAGTAGATATTTGGACACTTTGAGGAGCCTATGACATTATGCCATTCAGGTGACATAATTTGTGGTTGAACATACTCTTCCCTTATGGGTAGAGTCCACAGAAAAAGCCGACAAGGTCATTGTGGAAATTCTGATATCAAATCCCAGGTTGCTGCACCTATGGGAAAAGACAGTTATTCTATGGCTCTCATGCTAACGATAGCAAACTCACTTTAATTGGTGATATGGTTTGGCTGTGTCCCCACCCAAAGTTCACCTTGAATTGCAGCTCCCATAATTCCCATGTGTTGTGGGAGGAACCCGGTGGGAGACAATTCAATCACGGAGGCGGTTTCGTCTATACCCTTCTCATGATAGTGAATAAGTCTCACGAGATCTCATGGTTTTATAAGGAGAAACTCCTTTCACTTGCTTCTCATTCTGTCTCTTGCCTGCTGCCATGTAAGACTTGCCTTCTGCCTTCTGCCATGATTGTGAGGCTTCCCCAGCCACCTGGAATTGAGTCCATTAAACCTCCTTTTCTTTGTAATTTATCCCATTTCATATATGTTTTTATCAGCAGTGTGAAATCAGACTGATAACATCAGACATTTATTTTTGGAGAAAATGTATATACCCATGGCATGTATAATATAAATACTTGCTAAAAGTTTTAAAAATTAGCTTCTTTTCTTGATGAAGAGAATTAAAACTCAGGAAAAAAAATTCCAATTATTATGCTAGGATGCTCATTGTCTAGCAGAAATAATTATGTTCAACTTTCAATTATTGTTAAGTATTTTCCCCTTAATATGGGACAACAGGAGATAATTATTTAGAGTGTGAAGCTTGTGATAACACCTGTCAACCTCCCAGAGCCAAGAACAATATGTTATAACGAAACTAAACATCTACAAAACCAAACTAATCACAGATATTTTTACTTTAATTCACAATTGGATCTTTCAGATATTCTAATAGCTATTTGGTTGAAAAGAAAAAAACATAGAGATATGTATGAAATACTGAGTAAAACAAATTTAAGCAGTTTTCTTAATTGTAAGGTTTTTTCAACATTTTAATATGCTGGTTCAAACTTTTAAGAGAACAGATATATTTATAATAAGTACATATTTGTAAGAGAACATATATGGTATATATAAAATAAACATATACTAAAAGGATATGATATGCATTGATAATACATATTAAATATATAAACAAATTCAGTATATATTTTATTAAATACATACTACAATTATATTATGTTTTCAGAGAATATAGTCTTGTATAAAAATATACACTTTATTATTCCCGGGAAATTAAGAATTTTAAAAATGTTGTTCTTTGCTATCCATGATCCCAAATACACCCTAAAAAAATTTGAATGCTGTCAGTTAATTTTAATTATCAGTGCTACATTTAAATAGCTATAGTTAAAGATTACATTTTTCTGAAATCTCTTAAGAACATATGCTTTATGTGTTTTGTTGTCAAAATTTCCAAAACACAGCTTACCCTGAGCCTTCTGTTTGGCTTTTCTTCTGACTTAGTGACAAACGGAAAAAATATAGAAAGAAAGAAGAAAGTAAAGCGGACTGACCCTTTGCTTTTCTCAACCATTTTCCTTGCTTAGCTAGAATTTGTTCTAATTTCCAAGTACAGTTTTAAAGCTACACAGAAATAAAAAAAAAAAAATAGCATTACGGAAGTCTCTACTCTTTCCAGCTTTCAATCTCCAGTTTTGACATTATAACCTTTGAATCTTTCAATGTAATGGTTTGTGACATGTATTAAATATCATATTTTTTATTGAAATAGGATTAAAATTTTAATATATCCAGAGCTATATTTGCATCTGAATTCCATATTGTTCAAATCATAATGTTCTACCACAAATTGGTGAATTTCAATATTTCCCATATTTAAACATAGCCTATTCAGATATTCTTTCATTCATATTGTTCATCTTTGTATTCAACACTTTATAGGTTTGTGGGAAAGGGAGATGTTATTTATTTTACTTGCATGTGATGGTAATTGAAAAGCTATACTTATATTAACATAGTAGATATAGGAAAGATGAAAAGTAGCTAAGATATACATGGGCCAAAGCAAAGGAGATTTAACATTGTTTTACATTTGTTATTTATACCTGATTTTTCCAACACTTCGATATTAGGCAGGCTTGCAGTTACTCTTAAGCAATGACAAGTGCAGGTGGCCCGGCTGACCATCTAATATCCTGGGCCACCAGCCACAATTACTAGAAACTTATGGTGAGAAAGCAGTTCAAATGTTCAGTGCTTTTGAAAGTCTCTTCCTGCTAGGGTTTTCCCTGAACATATGCAAACCTCTTACACTACAGCTTTGTGCTGCTATAGCTTCATCTAATGGGGCTGGCAGAGCACTTTTTTCCCTATAGTTTTAAAAATTCACCTTAATATTTTTATGTCCTTATGGCATAACTGCTTTATTGGCTAAGCGTAGTTGTTAATATTGAAGTCTCTTATTCTTTCTTGTTCCAATATCTTTAAAAAGAATTATACACATGTAAATTTATGTATCACTAGTTAATCACACTACCTTTTATAGTAGAATTAACTTGGGTAGAGAAATAAAACTGTGTCAGCATATACCTACCAGTTTTACACAACAATGAATAGAACAGGTAAATTTAATTTTTAAAAATCTAAAATACTTTTGTAAATTAAAAATTTAAAGAACAGCTAAGTTTACTACACTGTCCACATCTCACTTAACTCTAAAATCATTTGAATAACATTACTGAATAACATTACTTGAAACTAAAAATGTAGTAACAGTTATCAACAAAGAAATGCTTAATTATATCTACAGGTTTTCTAAGTTTTCACTTTATACACATCTATTAATATTTTCATCAATAAAGGTTTACATATGTAGGAAAATCATCATATTTTTAATGTTTCTTCCATTTATATCTGCATTTGGCTACTACAAAAATACTTTAATGTCAAGAAGCTAACTTTCATCAAAATGAATAAAAACTACATTACATTCTTTGAATTCTGGGTCACTTTGGAATAGGAAAAGAGTAATACAGAATTTTCAAATGGAAAGCCAAATGCAGGAAAGTCATCCAATAATAGTTTTTGCCTGCTGTGTTGTAGTTTGCTTATTGTTAATATTGGCTCCAAGAGGTTTGTTTTGAATTACTTCCCACAAGTTTGCTGTTTCCTATTGAGCCTTAAATGACTGACATATTAAATTATGCATGATCAACTGAAAAGGATCACTTAAAATGTTGGCACTCAGTCACCATCTGTGCTTTGTACGTTGACATATCTCACATCATTTTCATGTTTGCTTTGTAAATGGTGTGACGGTTAGGCTTTTCATAATGTTTGTTGTTCCATGCAACTAATTCTAGTGGTCATATTCTGAGAATATAAAGATCCATTCAGGAAACTGTGAAGAATTTTGAAAACAAAAACCTTCATTGGGTGGTGACGATTATTTCTAATACTTCTCATGACAATCAATGCAGGTATATATTCATCCAGGATTTCATTCAGTAATATGCAATATTAATACCTAAATTGTATTGCCACAAAATTTCCTTCAGAAAAGCAATCAGTGGGACCTTTCCCACACAATGTGCATAACTTCAAAACTTGCACTAAAAATAAATTGAACACCCAAAGAAATCTTTCTTAACTATTATCATTTCATTAATCTTAAAAAATTAAGAGATCGTTATGCATACAAACTCACAATATTTCACAAGTAGAAGATACACTGAATAACAAAGTTAAATATAGTAAGTACAGTGCATTAGAAAATAATTTCAAAGTTGGGGGAAAGAGTATTAGGATATATGCACCAGAATACTAAGTAAAGCATTTCTATCATTCTTGTGTTCCCTAAGATAGCATGGACCTAAATCTTGGACACATCATTATTACTCTCACCTAAGCCCCAAATATTTTTCCAAAATTTATAATAAATTTCTACGTCATTGTTTGAAATGGCCATGATTTCTATAAAACAAAGTGAAATCCTGTGAATCACTTTTGTTTACTCATATTACTTGACTTAATAGAGTGTTAAGAGAATTATTTGCAACTATAATTGTATGTGGCAACTACTTCATGTAAAATAAATTAAAAAATGAAGACGTATATAAACCATTATACTCCCCACAAAGAAGGACTTTCCAGAAGTCCAAATACAGCTTTGAGAGATCCTTATAAATTATTTTCTTCTTCTAATCAGCTCAAAATTTTTTCTTAAAATTTATTCCACTGATGCAGGCAAAATATGCACCTAAAATGCTTATTAGAAAAAACCCAGATCAACAAGGTTCCTATTATTAAAATGTTCACAGAGTAAAGGAGAGCAAACACAAAGTCATGAGGAAGAAAAATGAGCTCATTTTCTTGGCAACCAAATGACTATTTGGAACCAAGGATTAAATGAAGTAAAATTTCAGTTACACTCCCCACTTCTTTCCCTGAAAGTAAACACACACTGAACCATTCTTAGGCTATTACAAAATCAAAGATTATGAAAGTCTTACTTTGTATATTTTGAATATGGACATTTCCAACTGATAGATCTTTAAAAAAAAAAGTTCTGGCTTTCAAACTAACTACAGGATTGTTAGGATTATGTGATTGAAAATAAAGAATAGATAAATTCTTTTATATTCTTTCCTATGCTCCTTTTAACAACCCTGTGTTTAATTTTTTCTCTTTTATCTGGAATAGGGGTTGTAGGGTTATATTTTTAGCTATTTTTATTAACCATTATTTATAAACTTAGTCTCTGGCACCTCTCTGTTACTGCTCTGTGTTTTGCTTTTTTAAACAAAACTCAGTCTTCATTTCTACTCACAATTTCAGCTACCATTGTCCTATTTCTTCTTTCTTCCATATAGTTTCCTCTGTCCAAGTTTTCTGGTATTCACACTCTTTGCCTTAGTCTTGACCTATTTTTCAGGTACCATGAAAGCCGTTTAAGTTGACTTATAAGTAGGCAAATTTTATATGCTATTTTCCTACCATGTTTGGCAATCCTATCTGAATATCAGCATTTCAATTTCTTTTCCACAATTTTAAAATTTAAAAAGCTCTGAAATTGTATTTGTGACAAACGTAATCATACGAACGAGTGTGAATGACATGAATTGTCTTTCCCTACTACATGAAGAGTGTGTCCAGTCCTATATCTACTGCAGAAGTATGCCCCAGACCCCACAGTACATTGTATGTAACATACCATGTATATAGAATACTAATTTGCTTATAGGCAGTTATCTTCACCAAATATATTTACTCTATCTTTCTTTTAACCTTTTGGTGTTTATTCAAGATTCTACCCTTTGATTTGCCCTTTTTCTTTTCACCAAGTGATATAATCTAGGCACTCTTTCCTCTAACAACTACCTACAGAATTTTAATCTGTATTTCTATCATGGATCTTTTTAAAGACTTCATATACACATGTCAACTCTGTTTCCATGTAGATATCTTGACGCCTATAATAACTACAGCTACTGTTTGTAAAAAAAAGAGCACATAACACTTGTCAGGCTGTGTGACAGCTTTAAAACATTATCTTGTATATATATATATATACCCAACCACCTAATGAGGTAGTTGTTGGGATTTACTTTTAACAGATAGTAATAATTTTCAACATTAATCAATGTTTCCCATGGGCCTGGTGCCATTTTAAACATTACCTTTTTTATTCTGTAATATTTAATTCTCACAACCAACTAACCAATAGGTAATATTATTGTCCCATTATACAATGAATGAAACTTGGGCCAGAGAAATTAAGTAACATACCCAACATGACACAGAGGAAGGTTCATTAATTTTTGTTATTCAAGCTGACGTCTGTTTTACTAAGCCCTGTATTTTACACTTACACTGATACAGCTTCTCAAATCTAATAAAAATATGTACTTAGGTTTCCCCCATTACCATCTCATTATGCTTCTATAATTTTTGTTTTTATTAATAGCAACATGAAAATAATGTTAATGTTAAACACGACCTGCCTCTTTCTCAAACTCCACGTTTCATCTGATGCTGTATTCTGTCAGTGATGTCTCCTAGTTCTCACATTTGTTGCCAGTTCTGAGTGACCACAATTACTGCTTAAATCCATCTTTTCCTACTTGGGCTACTGCAAAGATCTCTCTTAAATTGTCTTCTTGCCCCTATAAGACACTCCTTGTAACCTGCCCTAAACTCTCTAATAATAACGTTTTAAAAATCTTATAGAAGCGTAAGATTAAATTATTTTAACTCTTCAGTAGCTCTGCATCTCATACTTCTTTGAAAGATCAATGCGACTTTTTCCTTCCTATTATCTCAAACTCAGTAGCCTATTGTTAGCCCTTCTGCTAGTCATAGTAAATTAATCCCTAGATATATATGGGGTATTGGTTCCAGGACCTCCCAAATTTAGCAAGATCCACATGTACTCAAGTCCCTCAGTCAGCCCTGTGAGAACCCAATATGTGAAAAGTTGGCCCTCAGCATATGTAAGTTTTTCATCTGGCGAACACATTTTCAGTCTGTGTTTAGTCGAAAAAAAATTCACATATAAGTTGACCTGCACAGTTCAGACCAGTGTTCAAGGGTCAACTGTATATATTTACCTAAATAAAGCATCCTATTTCATCATTCCAAGCATTTGTTTTTGTTTGTTTGTTTTGAGACAAGGTCTCACTCTGTGGCCCAGGTTGGAGTGCAGTGGGACCACAGCTCACTGCAGCCCCTACCTCTGGGGCTCAATGTATCCTCCCACCTCAGACACCCAAAATGCTAGGATTACAGGTATGAGCCACTGAACCAGCCACAGTTCCATTTATAATTGATCATTTTCACCTTTGTTTATGATTGTATCTTTATGTCAACCATTGTGTATAACTGCCCTTACATGTGTGGTGTAGTCTTATATATACATGCATATGTGCTTATGTACACAAAAGCACACATATACACACACACATATTTTGATATAGAACTTAAGAGAATGTATTTCAATTATTTGTTAATGCATTTCCTACTTGAATGTAAGGTTCTCTATTTGTAGGGTAGAATTATACACCTTATTGTGCAAAGCAAAGAAAAAGAATATCTTTAGAGTGATTCCCAGGATTTCAAGTGTGGCTAATCAGTTGTCATTGCAATTAAGATAAACTAATAGGTATGGATTTTGTATTTATTTATATTTCATTTTGTTCTGACATATTGTTAAAGTTTTACAACGTATTAGTGGAAAAATTATTTTCTAAAATAGGGTAAAAAATACATTGTATACTTGATGAAAACTACATTGTAAGGAACACATATAAAGAAAAAAAGACTAAGATTACATTTTAGAAAGTTCCTATATGTGGGCTGGGCGCGGTGGCTCATGCCTGTAATCCTAGCACTTTGGGAGGCCTAGGTGGGCAGATCACCTGATGTCAGGAGTTCAAGACCAGCCTGGCCAACACGGTGAAACCCCATCTCTACTAAAATACAAAAATTAGAAGGGCATGATGGCGGGTACCTCTAATCCCAGCTACTCGGGAAGCTGAGATGGGAGAAGCGCTTGAACCCGGGAGACGGTATTTGCAGTGAGCCGAGATGGCGCCACTGCACACAGCACTCCAGCCTGGGCGGCTGAGTGAGATTCTGTCTCAAAAAAAAAAAAAAAAGTTCCTATATGTGAATGAGCTGTTTGCTCATGTGGTTGAATTGCCTATGTAATAAAAGCTTAAATTATTGAAAACTACTTAAACCACTGGTATTAGATGAAGAAAATAAAAATTAGACAAACAGCAAACAATTATTTTTTTAAATGTTACTATGTACACCATTTATAGATGTATTATTCTGAAAAAAAATTCAACCATTTAAAATACATATTTTGGTATGGTTGCTATGATGGCCATTTTTTAAACATTAGTTTATATTTATTGTGATTCAAGGTACACAACCTAAATTTTCATAATTTTAATCATTTCTTAAACTTTACAAATTCACAAATTAAAAAATATAAAGGAGTCAAAACTTATAAGCATGTTTAAATAATGACTTTTCTATTGAAAATCTCCTTTTAATATTACTTTCAATTCATTTTTTATAATGGATTGCATCATTCAAAAAACTGAAGGGTATTATTATAATATTTAATTATTAAACTAGGTTTTCCTATAAAAGGTATACTAAACTGTGAATTTCATAAAATAAAGCTATGGTTATGTATGTTAACATATACTGAGTAACACTTTTAATAGGAATGTTAGCAAAATGGTTAGGCAGGGTATGTTTATCCAAATTGGTATTGATGAGAATAGTGGAGGCACAAAAATGTCAACAAGCCAACCCTCAATCATAAAGTAAAAACTGGGGTAAGAAAGGATCTGAATCTTGATATTCTGCCAAAAAATCAAGTATCTCAAGACTGATAAATATTACTTCTCATTTGGCTCAATTTTCAAAATTTAGGGATACAATTAAAATACTAATATTATATATCTCACTCCAAAGGGAGATTAGTTATTCCATTTAGTGTAATCTAATCAAAGTATAGTGATCATCAATGTAGTTCAGTTGCATGTTTATGCCATTCACTTACTTGTTACAGCCACATGCAACTCAATAGCATTAATGGATTTTCACTGAATCTCTTCTAAACTCCTTGATGTCAGAGGATACATTATAACATGCTTTATATTTTCAAGCCTTGCCTAGACCTGGTATGAAAAAGAAATAGTTCTCTGTACACTCTAGATGTTTCAATCCAAGGCAATAGGTCTATCCATTAAATCACTAAGATTTAATGCTAAGATCACATTTTAGAAAGTGTTTATATATGAATGAGCTATTTGCTCACGTGGTTGAATTGCCTATGTAATAAATGCTTAAATTATTGAAAACTACTTAAACCTCTGGTATCACATGAAGAAAATGAAAATTACACGTTTACTAACCATTTAAAATGCAGATTCTGTTATCAAAACACCAGTGTATGGTCTAGGTACTGCTACTCACTGCACAGAAAGCCAATTACTGAGACAGCAAATATTGCCAGGGAAGAAGGCTTTACTTGGGTGCTGCAGTGAGGAGAACAGGAATCAGTCTCAAATCCATCTCTTTGGCCAACCAAAACTGGGGGTTTATGTAGCCAGGAAGGAATGTAACTACATGCAGGTAAACAGGTACTAGGGAGGGGAAAGGAAACCATGAAAGATAAAGGGGTGTCTTCCCAGTGTCTGAATGTGGTGATCTGGTGAGTTTCAGTCCCTTGATACTATTTGGGAAGACTGAGAGTGGTTTCCTGAGGAAGGGACTCAGATAAGACAAATATAAGTTTCAAGCATTAAGATAGGAGGTTCAAGTTCTATATTTATTTAAAAAGACTAAAAATATCAGTTCTTTGGGACAATTGGTCTGGTTTCAATTTCATCATTGGAATTAAGCTGGTAACATTATACCATATTAATTCTGAAACAAAGATTAAAAAGAGACTGATCAAGTTATCTTTAAAAATATTTTATCAAAGTCATATCATTATTTTTATTTTTGTTTAAGATGTTTTAGAAATTTACAGACTGTATCAGGATCATGTCTGAGTACGTATTTATTAATAATATACATCCTCAAAATAACAATTGAGTAAACAAAAGTGAAAGACGTATGGTAATTTTCATTACCATTATAAACCAGTAATACCATACCCGCTTTCCTCCACTGACCCTGGAGTTGGAACCAGTAGTCAATTTTTTTTTTTTTTTGAGATGGAGTCTTGCTCTGTCACCTAGGCTGGAGTGCAATGGTGCAATCTCAGCTCACTGCAACCTCCACCTCCAGGATTCAAGCAATTCTCCTGCCTCAGCCACCCAAATAGCTGGGATTACAGGCACCCAACACCATGCCAGGCTAATTTTTGTATTTTTAATAGAGACGGGATTTCACCATCTTGGCCAGGCTGGTCTTGAACTCCTGACGTTGTCATCCACCCGCCTCAGCCTCCCAAAGTGCTGGAATTACAGGCATGAGCCGCCGCGCACGGCCCACCAGCAGTCATTTCGATACTGCAACTAAACTTAAACAATTCACTTTTCCTTTTGGCAATCTTTTCTTTCCCGTATGTATAATAAAGTACTTTTATCTATTATCATCACTTATATTACCACACATCCTTAGACACAATGGCCACAAAGCAGGGTGCCATAAGAGGAACAATGCTTAAGATGTTTGAGTTCCTTCATAAAAATTAGAGTCCATGGTGAAAAACATTTGAAAACTTTAGAGTTAAAAATTTTTTTCCAAATCCTTTTTTTGTATTTTAAGCTGACTGTGACTCTCTTAGTGGATAATGGAACATATTTTTTTTCTCAAGATGTTTGATCTGTGAACCTTGTTTTAAAAAGCAACTTTTGGATCTTTTTCATGAGACATCCTTTAGGAAATAATGTTTCTTTAACTAATTAATACTTCTATGGAGTACAAAGATTCCATTTCAAATCATATGCCAAATCAGAAAGAAATGTGCCTAAATGTTTATTTGATCTTTCCTAGATTAAATACTTTTATGAGTATTTAACAGGAGTGAACTATATTAGAACTCATCAGAATTAAAAGCCAATTCCATCATTTTTTTTTCTTTTCTGAAAGACTGATAAAATTTATGAGTTTTAAGGATGCTTATCAGTATCTTAGAAGGAAATTGTAATGGCAATATTTACTTCCTCTGGAAGTTTGTTGTTATTATTTTTTGGAGCATTAAGGTAATTATAATTCAATGTTGGTCAACAAAGACAAAATGAACAAAGATAATAAAACTACTTACAACATTTGGAAGGATTAGATGCTTTATATTTTATTCCTCAGTCATCAGCATTTTTGCTTTTTTTTCCCTCCACTTTTTAAGTTTTGGTTCAGTGTTCTTGAATTTCATGTCAGCTAGCTTAATACAGCTTCCTTTCCCTCAAGCACAGTAGATTAGCAATAATTAGATATCTATAAAGAATGCAATTTTTATATAAGCAGATGTGAACTGATTCTCTGGAAAATCAAAAAGATGATCTCTTATTGAAGACATGTATGGAAAAAAATAGCCACAGTTCAAACTGATTCAGAGTTGAAATATAATTTTAATAAAAAGCAATGTTTAAATCACATGTAAATGTTTTTCATTAAATCCTAATGAGTACACACTATGTAAGTACTACAGAAAAATAAATTACAAATTCCATTTTAAGAAACAAAACTTGCATAAGTAGTTTTTGAAATGAGAAGCGTTAGTCATGTGTTGATGACATTACTTCATTACACTTTAATTAGCATTGCATAAATCATGTAAGGTTTATAAAACAATAATTTAATCTTGTAAGACAAATTTTTGTACTGTGCTGTAACATTACTCATTATGCAGCTTTAATTAAAACCTACTATTTCAGTAAATAATTCATCTATTTAAATACCAATTTTAAGATGCTTATAAATCTTCACAAATAGAAAGTTTTTCTCCCAATCTCTTAGTAGCCAAAAGTAAGAAAAGTTATAAACAGTATACACCAAAGACTTTTTTACTCTATTACATGCTCTTGGGCTGGTGATGGCATAAAAATAATAGATAATTTACATAATGCATTTTTGCAATTCAAAGTCATACACTGTTCAGATTGAAAACCTTCAGCTGAGTGTATTTTTCACCAAACAACCTTGTTTTAAATGGTCAAAGTGAGAAATATAATAATGTTTATCGTAAAAGCTGTGAAATTGCTATTGTAAAGGTATCATAGTCACAGTGCAATTCTGGAAAGCTAAAAAAAGCAATGTGGTGTAGTTATGGGTTCTGAAAATAAACATTCACCATGCTGACTTGTGATTACAGAAAAGATTTGGTACATTAGTTGCTAATGAAAGTAGAGAGAAGGAAATGGGAATTCATTTTGGAGAATAAGAAATACAAAGGGGGAGGAATAAAACCATGACAGTTCTTATGTGTGAGTGTGAAAGTGTTAAAGGGTCAGAATGATAAAGGCAGTAACATTAATAAAATCCAGAGTCCTCGCTGGATCTAGTAGGTATTTGACATATCCAAATAGAGATTTGTGAAAGAAAATTAAGAACAGCTGAACATGTATAACCAAATACATGTAATTAACCAAATAATTAAAACATAATACATATGGAGAGGGAGAACAGGCTTGTGTGAGAAACAGCAGTCAAACAGTTTGCAAGGAAGATTTCATGTGTTCAGTTTTTCAGATCAATTATCATAGTATTACGGATTGAGATATTCTTGGGGCCAGTATTCTTTCCTCTAAATATCAAAGAAAGTTATCTTCCAGGGCAAACATGTTTTTTGTTTGCTGTACATGTTGGCACCCACTTGCTCAAATACCTCCAAAGGTTTAGTACTTCCTGTAAGATAAATGTTCCTCTAATGTGTCTTTCAACTCCCGCAAACAGGCTTAACGTCATATTTTTATGAGTATTCACATTTTTCCCAATGGAAGTCCTGCATACTCCCCGTGAACTCTCCCAGATGCAGATCAACCGACATGCCTTATATATTACCTTTCCAGACACCGGAGAATGCACTCCTCTCTGCTTGTATTGTTTCTGTTCATACTTCAGATCCTTTATCGGTGAGAAGTCTTCCCTGATTATTCCAAGCTGCAGTGGGCAATTCATTCTCAATAATTCAGTAGTGTTTGTCCAAGGCCAGAAAAACGTGAGATTTACAAACTGTCCTATTTTAATGGTTAACGTTCAAGTATTATTTTTCAAGTAGAAATATAGTAATAATACTGTGGTTGATTTATAGTAATATATTAACAGTTATAAAAATTGCCAGTTATTAAAATAGATTATCAGAGAAATAAACAACTCAAGACAGTTTTAGCTAACAAGCAATTCTACATATTTATCTGTACCATTAAAGACTGCTTTTTATATTGAAAGCAATGAGTATAACAGGACTCCCCTCTTCATATTTGGTCTTCTTTAGCTTCTTCTCAAAGTCTTCTTTTTTTTTTTGAGATGGAGTTGTGCTCTTATTGCCAGCCTGGAATGCCAGGCATGATCTTGTCTCACTGCAACCTCCACCTCCTAGGTTCAAGCGATTCTCCTGCCTCAGCCTCCCAAGTAGCTAGGATTACAGGCATGCGCTGCCACACTCAGCTAATTTTGTGTCTTTAGTAGAGACGGGGCTTCTCCATGTTGGACAGGCTGGTCTCGAACTCCCAACCTCAGGTGATCTGCCTGCCTTGGCCTCCCAAAGTGCTGGTGTTACTGGTGAGAGCCACCGCACCCGGCCTCTCCTCTCAAACTCTTTTACCATTGCTAGTGCACACTTCAGCAGGAAAAACCTTGCTTTTCCTCACCCCTGGATCTTGTCTAACATTTTAGCATGTTTAGATGGAAGGTAAGATTTCAAGGCATATTGAAATATGCAAGCTTTTTCCTCTGCATTTTTTATTTATATTTGTTAGTTTATAATATTTGTTCATTTAAATAGATAATACAGGGAGTAAATACCTTCATAGGAAGGGTACATAAAAGCATAATACAAATGGATTTTGCCTTCCACATGATAATCTTTCCAACTAAATGACTTGATAGTATCGATATTTTAATAACAACTATGTGGTGACAAATGCACGTATAAGCAGGGACTGTTTGGATAAATAGGAACATAACCTCATGCCATCATGCTGTGAGAACATGTGAGGGTGCAGTCACTGTTTTTGTGACACTGCATGGGTGTGTGTATGTGGCGTGCAGGTGTGTGACACTGAGGATTGACTGCACTTTCACAAGTTCATACATATATACATATACAGATACACACAGACGCACTTTATGTATTTTAAAATTAAATAAGATATTGAATGTTCTGTTCTGTTGCTCCATTTCCCCAAAATTCCAAATATGTAGTAACTTTCATTTAAGTGATACACTGAACACTTATAGTGATAGTGATACTAATAAGACATTTTAAATGTAATATAAATGATAGTGATACTGATATTTTCAGTGTAAGCTAAATTTGGACCCATAATTTATCACTTAAAATATCTTATCAGTATCACTGTAATACAAAACTCAAATGGAAGTTACGACATATTCAGAATTGTGGGAAATGGAGCTTTAGAATATTTTCTATTTTCATCTTCCCTAAAATAAACATTAGGCCAGTATTACCACTTTCCAAAAGAAGCTACTGCTCTTAGCAGGCAATTGTTGCTAATTTTACTTATTTTAACGAGATATTATAATAATAGAAATGTCAATAATAAAGACATACATTTATTTTATCTCATTCTCTCTGTATCCATTTTTTTAATCCTTAAATGGAAATAATGGCTATCTTTCGAAAAAACAGTTATATATACACCAATGAACAAGAACAGATATTTATTTTCCTTTACTGGAGCTAAGAGACTCTTTGCAATAACATATATTAATTGAACTACATAGTTTCAGTTAAAATTGCAAATACAAGTAAACAAGAAATAGTAAGATATGTGAATAGAAATAACAGCATCAGTTGTATATGTCTAGGTACAGTGTGGTGGTAGCAACGTTAGAGTTATAGTGAAGAACTCTCCTGGTAAACATTATTTCAGTTTGGAAGGAAGTGCTATCTAGTTGAAGACTGGAATGGAGAGCATTTGAGACAGAGTAAAGCAAGTGCAAAAACATGTAGTAGAAAGAAGAATAACCAGATTAAACAACAGAAAGAATCCGAATGTAGATGGATCCAAAAACTATTGGCAGGACAACTTCTATTATATAAAGACCTTACTGTCTACACTCAAATCCTTATAAAAAGAGAAAGCTGGATAAACTGAAAATCGATGGGTTTTCTTAGACCACATGGAGAACTGATGTTGTGAGGCAAACCACCATCCTCAAATCTGGAAAGGCAGCCACATCAAGAGAGACACAGTCAAGATCTGCATATCTGGAGCCAAAAGCTAGTATGAACTCTTACATGGTAAATTTTGATAAATTACTAGAGGACAAGTAAGAACTAGCATGAGAGTCAGAAACTCTGTGTGGGCCACAGTCTTAGTGGGATCCCTCAAGCTTTCACAGGCTTTCTCTCCAGGAACATGATCAGATTTCCACGGAGAAGACAACCCCTCATGGCTCTGTCTGAGAGGGGATATAGTAATCACTGTGAAATACACCCAAAGACCATTAAAACAACAACAAGAACAAAAACCTTTACAGAGAAAGACTTTTCCAGAACTTTAGACCAGCTTAGGGCATTGCTTCCACATCAGCTCCCTCCAGCCTTCCACTGTCTGCTATTGCGTAGCGGGGAGCAAAATTAGTGCGAGTCAGGGCTTGAAGAAAGTAGATCAGGTTGCTGTTGTCACTGAATAGAGAAAAGAGCAGGAGGTTAAAAAGAAAAAACAGCTATATCACTGAATAAATATTTGTGAATGCCACAGCCCGGAGACACAGGCCCACTAAATGACCAAGATTTCATCAGAACTATGATTAATATGTTTCAGGCTCTAAAGGAAAAAGTAGCTGGAAAATCTACTATATGGAAAATTTTGTATGCCTTCTAATATAAAGGATATACCAAAACAGGTGGGTAATGTAAGAAGAAAAGATGGGAAATGTAAGAAAGCATAAGAAAGAATTACCAGAAATTTTTAAAAACAAAAACAAAGTAACAGAAATAAACAATGTGTTTGATAGGCTTTTCAGTAGATTAGATCCAGCCAAGAATAAAAACAGTGATTATGAAAATAGTTCTAGAGAAACTTCCAAGCAGATGCTGTCGCAGGATCTTTGGGGTGTTGCTTCACCGGCCAGAAACTTCTGTGGCCAGCGGTGCCTTCTGCTTGAGTATTGCTTGTGCCTGCTGGGCTCATTCCGCCCACTCAGCCCAGTAGGCTGCGCTCCGCTTACACTATCAGCCCAGATCCCACAACTGCCAAGGGCAAGCCAGGCCTACAGCAGCGAGGGGTGTATGGTCGAGCCAGCGCAGGGTCCAACCACTGCACACTGCCAGGCACATTTGGCTGCTGCAGCGGGGCAGGCAGCTGCAGGCACTGGCACAGGTGCCAGCTCCATATGAGGCTACAGCTGGACCAGATGTACTGCATGCAGCTTCTGCTGCAGACACCCATATCTGGAAGAGGGGAGCAAGGTGGTGCCAGGAAGCCTAGAGATGCCAGAAACCGCAGAGCCCAAAGTGAGTGTCACAGCCCTGACTCAGGGAGTCCCTAGGTCTGGGCTCCGCAAAGGACCACAGCTCTTCCCTCCTTCTAGAGGCTCACAACCTGGCAAGCAGGGGATGTGTTTCAGCCCTATTTGTGTTACACCTCTTTCAGTCCTGCCACTCAGTGGGTCTCAAGTTCTTGGCCTGAATCCAGGAAGAATGGGGTATGTGGATAACTGGAGGGTGAGCAAGGCAGAGAGGAGCTTCACTGAGTAACAGAACAGCTCTCAGGAGACCTGAAGTGGGTAGTTCCTTTATGCAGGCAGGTTGTCCCAACAAGTGTCCAGCTCTCAGCAAATAGGAAGCCTGCAGTGCATAGCTCTTTATCACAGTTAGGTTTTCCCAACAAGTCGAGGAGAACTGAAGTGGGTAGCTCCTTCCCACCGCTGGTAGTCCTGACATCTGTGTGAGTCTGGCTGAGTCCAGAGGTTTTTATGGGCTCAGAAGGGAGTAAGTATGTGATGATTGGTCCATGGGTGGCCATGGATGGGCCCAGAAAAAGCACCGTAGGTTCTCACTCCAGGCCCACACTCCATCTGCAACTGGCAGCCCAAGATTCAGGCCGTCCCTGGCCAGAAGGTGGGATTTCACCAGGGATCCACCCCTTTCTGCCCAGGAATCTCTGCCTCTGCCATCAACATGCTGTCCACAGCACCCAGGCTGTTCATGCTGAGGGATGCCTGCAGGCCTGCGCTGAGCTGCCTTCAGCTCCCCCAGCCTCCCTCCTGCACTTATTGGTACCCAAAGTCCAGAGGGGGCCAAGGTGGCAAGAGGCTGGCATGTGAGTGCCACCTTGAGTGTGCACACACCTGGCCGAGTCGTGACAGTGCCTGGGCTCAGCTTCAACTTTGCTCCAAAATCAGAGTGGCCGTCAGGAGTGGAGAAGAATGGGAGCAGGTGCTTCTGGGCCTGCAGGGGCAGAGGGGCTTTCCGGGCTCCTGAGAGCTCAGTGATACCCGGGTCTGGAGCCATGGTTGGGTAGCTGCATCTATGCCTAGAAGCACAGGGCTCTATCCCTGCCAACCTGGTCAGGCACAAAGCTCCCCCCATTTCTGGTTCCCACTGGCTGCAAGGGGAACACAGCCCCATCCACGCCTCCCCCATTGTAGCTGGCATCCCCTCAGTGGCTGCTTCATATGTACAGCCACTGCCATCAATGTTATGAAATTTAAAGACAGATTTCCATTTTCCTCACTATTTCTATATGTTTTTATTAAATATTTATTTATTTATTTATTTCCGAGACAGAGTCTTGCTCTGTTGCCCAGACTGGAGTGCAGTGGCACAATCTTGGCTCACTGCAACCTCCGCCTCCCGGGTTCAAACAATTCTCTTGCCTCAGCCTCCCAAGTAGCTGGGATTACAGGTGCACACCACCATGCCCAGCTAATATTTGTGTTTTTAGTAGAGATGGGGGATTCACCATGTTGGCCAGGCTGGTCTTGAACTCCTGACCTCTTGATCCACCTGCCTTGGCCTCCCAAAGTGCTGGGATTACAGGTGTGAGCCACCGTGCCCCGCCTGAATTTTCTAAATAAATAACTTTTATATCAGCATAAACTCACGGATACTTATTTTATTCTGTGGATTATAACCCAATAGTACTGTCATTTATTTTATTTTCAAAACTTAAATATAGATGTTTTGAACAATAAAATAAATGACCCTGGCATATTATAGTCTATGCAATTGTAAATTTTTACAAAGATGACATAAAATATGGAATACTCCTACCAAGAAATAGGACACAACATTCAAGAAGTACCCTCCAGAATTCCATCCTCTGCAAGTGTAACTAGTATTCTGTCACCTAAGAGTATGACTGAATATCTTTTCCTTCTTTTTTTGTTTTATTTTTGTTGTTTAGTTGTAAGTTGTATTCTTTGGAATATAAATTTATTTCACTCAACATAGCAAATGTATTTGTTAAAAATTTCTCAGTATTCTTCATTAAAATTTTTGAGGCCTCTTAAGTCTATATTGATACATACTTTTTTATTTCTAATATTAGTAATTTGTGTTTTCTCTCCTTTGTTCTTATGAACAGTCTAATGGCTTATCAATTTTATTGATATTTCCAAGGCAGTAACATTTAAATTTTAGTTTTTTACTATTACACATTTGTTCTTCATATCACTGGTTTCTGCTGTTATCTTTACTATATTTCCTTTTAATATCCTTAGGCTTTATACAAGCTTTTCATTTTCTTGCCTCTAATTATGCAAGCTTAAATTGTTTCATGTTAGACAGTCTTTTTATATGTTAATTTAAGGCAATACTTTTTTTACTAAATACTGCTTTAGCTACATCTTACAAGTCTTAATATAGCATATTTTCCTCATCTTTTAAAGTACTTTCCTATTTCCAGTGTGATTACATCTTTGGCCCTTGGGTTGTTTAGTAGTCTATTACTTAATTTCCACATTGTTGGCCTTTTCTGGTTTTATTTATGTAATTTATTTTCATTTTAATACTACTGCGATTGGAAATATACACTTAATGATTTAATTGTTTAGGACTTGATATAGGATTTGAAATTTTATAAATTTGCATATGTTCTTGAAAAGAACATACATTCTGTAGTTGTTTAATATGGTGGTTCATATTTGTCAATTAAGTCAAATTTGTTAATTATGTTACACATATTAACTATAGATTCACTGATTTTTTGTATTTTTTGGCTACTGACAGAGAAGTGTGTTAAAAGTCATATAGTTGATACTTAATTTGCTTATTCATCCTGTTAGTTCTGTTGATTATTGATATGGACATCCTGGAGCCATCTTGTTATGTGTATAATGATTTAGAAAAGTTGCATCTTCTGCTCTCACTGTCCATTTCATTTCCTTTGCTTAGAGATAGCATCTCCTCTGGACAAGATTCTTCTACATGCTATGACATCAATCTTTTTACTGAATTATCTGAACCTCCATGATTTTTCCATGTATTTTATTGTTCCAGTCTTATCACTGGGATGGGAGTCCTATGAGTGCTCCCCCAGGTTCATATATGTGTAGACCATTCTACCAACATTGTGTTGCAGCAACTCTCTTTCCCTCTTATGATCATAATCCAGGTCACATATTTTTCCTTTCTTGTCTTTATTTGGTCATAAGGACCCCAAAATTGCCAGATCACAGTCTAAAATGTCCAGAGTATTGGAAATGTCATTGTGTCTCCTAGTAGAAGCATTTCCTTTGGAAATTAAAACCTCTGAACAAGCAAAAACTGAAAGGCGTGGAGAATGGAAACAAAGTATTTGCAGGTTTGTAACTATGAGAAGTAATACTTCCACTTTTACCCCTTAGTTTATGGACCAATATATTCTGGCAATGAGAGAGATAGCATTAAGCACTATGTATTATCTCAAAACATATACCAAATCCTGTGGTACACCACCTTGAAGTTGCAAGTTTTATCTCGCAGCTGACTTTCTAACTGAGTCTTCTGGAGCTCAATTTCATGTACTCCTAATATCTGCTGCAACTTCTTGTTGAGAAACTTGATAATATCAATTAATCTTAAATTTTTCTAGTGACTGGTCTCCTTTTTTGTAAAATGTAAACTGTAAAATTTTCATTTTGTAAATTTTGTAAAATGTAAACTGTAAAACAAAATGTAAATTTTACATTTTGTAAAATGTAAACTGATTTTGTGTTCAGAAACAAAATCAAATGGGATGTCACAGTAATTTAGAAGATACTCAAGAAATTTTTGAGTGGTGCCACTGTGAGAGGTATGGTGGGCTGGGATAGTGAATCTATCCCCAATATAATTGTTTATTCTGGCAAAGACAAATTGTCATACACTACATGATGGACATAGTGAAATGTAATTGAGCATCTGCATTTATCAGATGGATGGTCATATCAGACATTGATATGGCTTGAATCCGTTTCCCTGTCCAAATCTCATGTCAAATTATAATCTTCAGTGTTAGAGGTGGGGCCTGATGGGAGATTATTGGATAATGGAGGCAGATTTCCACCTTTGATGCTGTTCTTGGGATAGAGTTCTCATGAGATTTGGTTGTTTAAAAGTATGTGGCACCCCCCTCCTCACTTCCTCCTGCTGTGGACATGTAAGATGTACCTACTTCACCTTCACCTTCTGCCGTGATTGTAAGTTTCCTGAGGCCTCCCAAGAAGCAGAAGCCACCATACTTCCTGTACAGCCTACATAACTGTGAGTCAATTAAACCTATTTTCTTTATAAATTACCCAGTTTCAAGTATTTCTCTATATCAGTGCAAGAACAGACTAATACAGACATAGAAAATTGTTCTCAGGGCCTTGGGCCACCTTGCATGAGCTATAGTCTACAGAAGTTCATTATTGCCCAGTGTCAGCATATCATGCAGAATTACCTTTCAAGCATATTAATGTTTTGTTTTTTGATAATCTGAGCATTGAGGCTATCAATGTGAGTTGAGTAAAGGCAGAAGTTCATCAAAGAGGAGATGTACTTGGCAATGAGCCACAAGTTCATAAAGGTGCTTATGTCTTAAGAACCTGCTTGTGTCTGAGGTCATATTTACAACTTCCACTTGATTCTGCTGCCCGACAAAAAATATGACTAGGTGGATCAGACAACAGCAACATTTTAAACAAACATTTTAGTAGTCATACTCATTTGATGCTCTAAGTTGAGATATTCAACCTCTATTAGGACTCAGAAGCAAGGCAAGGTCTGTTTTCATGAGACTTGTTTCATGAGATGTGCATGGATTTACTCCAAAATCCTAAGTTACTACACTGCTTTTCTCCTATTATTGTTTGACTCATTGCCTATATACTATATATTATCTTGATCAGTCAAAAGATAATCCCAGTGGGTCATAAAGGCAATATTACAATGCTCCTTTCTTCCAGCAGACTCCTACTAGACAAACTTATCCTTTGTTGACTGAAGGCCAGAAGACTTTTGGCAGCCATATGTGTTATTCAGTAATAGCTTCCGGCAGCATACCTAAAAACGTATCACCACATTCCATGGACTCCTAGTATCTCATTTTTTAATGCTGATTAGATCTTTAATGCCTTCACCCCCAAGTAGATCAGATGCCCAATCTTGGATTTCCATTTTATTGGTTATTACTTACAATTATTCAGAGTATTTTTGATTTATTTTAATTAAACTTAGTAAAAATAATTTTCATTCTAGAAATTAAGTGACTATCAGAATAATTTAGAAGGTTGGGTTATAGTAGGTAGTTAGTCAGACATGAGTAGGGCAGAAAGGCCCCAACCCCCTCAACCAGGAATGTCAGACGACCATGAGGTGATGGGCAGGTGGTTGTTACACTGTCTCTCTAAAATAAAAATTGGTCACAGCCAGGGCCAGGGAAAGACAGTCTTTCCACAGATAGGAACACCTGAAACTGGTGATCATCAGTTTCCCTATAAGATCTCAGGAGTTGGGCAAGTGGGCTCGGGCATGTGCATGAGAAGGCAAAATGGCAGAGTTTACCTGGTATATGACCTTCTAGGAACATTCGACTGGTAAGGGAGGAATGCCTCAAGGAAGAATGTGTACAACTCCAGTAAACACACTGGACATGTGGCCCCTTTCAAGTGCTGGCAGGCCACTGCCCATGCAGACAGCCACCACAGGGAAGAATCAGGGGAGCAGTAATATAGACCCCGGAAGAATGCCAATGTATGAAACCCCAAGTCAAAGGTAAAACTGGACACTTGGATCTCTCAAGTTGCCCACTTGGCCCTCTTCCAAGTGTACTTTACTTCCTTTCATTCCTGCTCTACAACTTTTTAACAAACTTCCACTTCTGCTCTAAAACTTGCCTTAGCATCTTACTCTGCCTTATTTGCCTCAATCAAATTCTTTCTTCTGAAGAAGCAAGAATTGAGGTTTCTGCAGATCCATACAGATTCACTGCTGCTAACAGGTGAAAATAAGTTCTACTCCCATTCTGGCTATGGCAGCGTAACACAGTAAGTACGATCAGTTCCAGCAAAATACAACTCTCATGCTGGCCAGAGAATATACCAGAATCCAACATATGTGTCCTTTATCTCACTGCTGCCTTCTAGATACAGTTTGATTTCATCTGACTGAGGGAATACAAATCACATCCAGAATTTTACCTGTTGACGATTCTAAAAATGTAAATTTGTTGCTTTCTAGCATCTGCAGTGAAGTACAGCATACTACATTCCTACATACAAACCACAGTCTGCAGAGTAATTGCCAACACGATTTTAAAGTGATTACAGGTATATAAATGATGGAAGTTGCTTTATAAAATCAAGATTTACATCTAGAAAAATTGAGACAAAATATGCAATGTTTACTAATTCAATGGTTTACTAGTTCAATTCAATGGTAAACAATATACAATGTTTACTAATTCAATGGTTCTTGTATATACCGGAGATATTTTGTCAAAAAGAACTATACTAATGTGGCTTTATCTTAATATTTTACCCATGTCCTAAGATTCTAATGGATTAGAATACATAGTTCTTGAATAAAATGTTGATGGATATTTATTTTTATACAGGTTTGTAACATTTTCTTTCCTAAAGTTTTGATTCTTTAAGCTGTTTAGATGATAAAAAAGTTTTTTTCTCTCCCTATGTATGACATATATGTGTGTATTTGTACATGTATATAATCAAGTGTCATAGTAATTAAGGCATGGGGGAGGTGTTGCACTAATTTTTTTTTTTAAGTAAGAGTGAAAAATGAAGCTTATTTGAGTTAAAAAATGTATATAAAGAATTCCTTGGCTGTAACTGCCCAATGGATTCTTCTTGCCCACTGCCCAGATAGAGCCAATAGATCAAGGCAGGGTAATTGCAATGGAGAAAGTGTTTAATTGACCAAGAGCTGACTGACTGGGAGACCTGAGTTTTATTATTACCCAAATCAGCCTCAGAGAATTCAGGGGCTATGGTTTTTCAAAGGTAGTTTGGAGGAAGGGATGGAAGTGGCTTGGCAATGGGTGCTGGCTGCTGTCTGGTTGCAGGTTTAATAGGGGTATGGGAAATGGTCTTCCTGCATGCTGAGTGGCTTCTGGGTGGGGCCACAGGAGTGGTTGGTGGGTCTGGGTAGAGCCATTAGTGTCAGACATGCAAAACCTGAAAAAGATATCTCAAAAGGCCAGTCTTAGGTTCTGCAATAGTGATGTTATCTGCAATAGTAATTAAGGAAGTTGCATATCTTGTGACCTCCAGAATAAGGGCCTGCAAACTTTTCTGTCTACACCTTAGCAAAATACAGGTTCCTCTATCCTCCTAGCCTCCTGGACTCTCATTAGCTTTACAAAGGAGGTTGAGTTTTGGGGAAGGGCTATTATTATTTAAACTATAAACTAAATCTCTCCTAAAGTTAGCTTGGCCTAAGCCCAGGAATAATTAAGGGCAGCTTGAAGGCAAGAGAGGGTTGGCCAGATCAGATCTCCTTCACTGCCCTAATTTTCTCATTGTTATAATTTTCTTTTTTTGCAAAGGCAATTTCATGTATAAAGGAATTTCTTGGCTTTTCCGATAAAAGCAGGATATAGCAGCATTGTGCTTTTTATAGAAGTATTAGAGACGAAGTTGCAACTCTTTCCAACCCTTACTGCTCCCTAATTAAGTAGCCAGTTTGATTAGCAAAATTCTGGATAATTCTTCCCAATAAACAATAACATGTTTACTAGTGAGTATTGTTGCTGTGTTAAATGCAACTGCTTACACATTGCAGAATATTTCTTGCATTCTTGGGCTCTTACCTAGGTGCCTGATTCACCTTCTTGCTGTATATCTATCTCCAAGGAAGAAGGAAATCAGCCGGGACCTACCTTTTGCAGGCCCATTAAAGAAAGTAACTCTCTGTTAAAGTGACTTAGTCATTTTTAGTCAGCTGCAGTTAATCAGACAGCCTATTACATTTCCCACTTTAATAGATTTCCCTATAGCATGGGACTTGTCCAATTGTCTAGCCCAGCAGTAAAACTGAGGATTTGCATTTAATCACCATTTAGCTGTTGCCTATTTATGTGTATCAGCAAGAACACAGAGTGAGATCGTGAATGGTAGTTTGAATAGAAACACTGACTTTATTTAAAATGATGGAGTTAGATTATACTTTGGCTTTTGGTTTTCTCACTTACCAGGAACATCTTCTAGTACAAATACGCTATCCATTAGTTAACCTATGAGGAGAAATACTTTCATAGACGCACAAAGAAAACATTTCTAGCTTTTTAATCAGAAAATATATTGCTTTTTAACTTTTGTAATTTTAGTTTTACATTTAGGGACTTCTCAATGTACGTAACAAAGGCAGCAATTCTATGTGAAAAATAGGAGCATTTAAAATATGTAAATCAGAAAAGAATATTTTTTTAATTTAGAATTTAACTGTAGTTCACTTATTTCCTCTATTCTTTTATTTACATTAATGTATAAATGACTGACATTTTGTTTTATTCTTATTTTTGGAGAAATGACACAAGATTACTGACTCACAAAATCTTGCCAAACTAGTGGTAATCATAGCAATGTCTAAGCTTTAGCTCTCATTGTGAGAAAAGAATATTATGCATTTTCAAACTGTATCCAAATGGAAGTGCTCATTACTCACACTTGGATAATTTGTTTTATATAACATGCTACATGGCTATGATAAAAGAAAAGTGTTCTAACAGAAAACATACTAATCTTAACATACAAAAGTGTGTTTTTGGACTGACTTCTGATATTAGGAACAAACAAACAAAATGTGTTAATTTTGAGTTGAGCTTTATAGTGTGGCTCTATGCAAACTTTGTTACAATCATTTCCTCCATAATAAAGTAATAAGTTATCTTTGTTGGTGTTGCCCGTATATTTAGGAGTTAAAACATCCATAAAAATATCAAAGCCATGCCAAAATGTCTTCTTGTTACGAAAACACATATTCTGTATCTAATCCAGTCAACTGACCTACCTAAGGCAATTTCTGATTTTTACACAGTAAGAAACAAGGCTGATTAGAAATTAAAAAAAAAAAAAACTTTAAAATGTCATACATTTTTATATTGCATACAATATAGAAAAATGTGACTTTCACAAATATGAAAAACAAGTATTTCTAAATATAATTTTCCTGTGATTAAGAAAATAGCTAGTTTTGCACATGAACCAAAATTATATATTTCTATAGATTTTTGCTTAAAATTTATGGCAAACTTCACACTATCTCAGTTAAAGCTCCATTCTTCATTATAAATCTGAACACATTAGAACCTTATGCTTGGCGGCCTGGTTTTAATAAGTAGAAGAAAAAGAGTGGGAAGGAAGTAAGGATGGGAATAAGGAGAGAGAAATAAAAAAAGAAATTTAGAGATAGTCATATAAAATGAGTTTGAATTTCCTGTGCTCCCATTGACTCTTCAGTTTTGTTACAAGAAAGACGTCCCGATCCAGACCCCAAGAGAGGGTTCATGGATCTCGCACAAGGAAGAATTCAGGGAGAGTCCGCGCTGCAAAGTGAAGGCAGGTTTATTAAGAAAATAAAGGGACAAAAGAACAGCTACTCCATAGACAGAGGAGCCCCAAGGGCTGCTGGTTGCCCATTTTTATGGTTATTTCTTTATAATATGCTAAACAAGGAGTGGATTATTCATGTCTCCCCTTTTTAGACCATCTAGGGTGACTTCCTGATGTTGTCATGGCATTTGTAAACTGTCATGGTGCTGGTAGGAGTGTAGCAGTGAGGACAACCAAAGGTCACTCTCCTCGCCATCTTGGTTTTGGTGGGTTTTGGCCAGCTCCTTAACTGCAACCTGTTTTATCAGCAATGTCTTTATGACCTGTACTTTGTGCTGACCTCCCATTTTACCCTGTGACTTAGAATGCCTTAACCGTCTCGGAATGCAGCCCGGTTAGGTTTTAGCCTCATTTTACCCAGCTCCCGTTTAAGATGGTGTTGCTCTGGCTCACACGCCTCTGACAGTTTCACATTCCAGTCTCTGCCTGTCTTCCTTCTGTGCCTAGCTAGAAAGAAAGGCTTGGAATTTTCTTGGAGTGCTTAAGCCCATTTAGAATAGGCTTTTTAATTATTTGCAATTAAAGGAATATTAATTATCATTACGATATATTTACAATAAACTGAATAATTATTACACTTTAAGTTAGCAATAGTTACATGTTTTCAGAAAAATTCTATAGCTGTAATTTAAAAAAGAGAAAGAGAAGTGCACCAACGACACCATATATCAAAAGATAGATATAAGTTGAAATGTGTTAGAACAAATAGAAAGGTATTGGGAAAACTGGATCCCATTAGCATTTTCTGCATTCCTTTGGTGATAGCAAATTAATTCAGTACAGAAACCATAGATGAAAAAGTTTCTATGCCTGTGTGCTGACCATATCTCTCTGCCCATGCAACTTCACTTTTTTAGAATCAATTGGTCATAATCTCTTAGTGGAAGTGGTACTTTTTAAAATCAAATTATCAACTTTATATGTATTGAGAAGATTGTATAACCTTCAAAAGCAAACATATGACCAGGCCCAGTGGCTCACGCCTGTAATCCCAGAACTTTGGGAGGCCGAGGCGGGTGGATGGCTTGAGCTCAGGAGTTTGAGACCAGCCTGGGCAACATGGGGAAACCTACAAAAAATACAAAAATTAGCCAGGAATTTTGGTGGGAGCCTATAGACCCAGCTACTCAGGAGGCCGAGGTGGGAGGATGGCTGGAGCCTGGGAGGTGGAGGTTGCAGTGAGCTGAGATCGTGCAACTGCATTCCAGCCTGGACTCAAAAAAAAAACCAAAAACAAAAAACAAAAGAAAACAAAAAAGCAAGCATATGAGGAATATAAATGAATTGGTGACTTTTTTAAGGATAAATTGAGGCTCTGTGATTCACTACTCTTGCATTTTCTAGATTACAGAATAAAGAGGTCTTTTATAGCAATCTTTTGTTTTTTTTCCCTCAAGTCTTTAAACTAAGACAAGGAATCAGTCCCAGCTAGCCACTGGCCACTGTTCGTGTGTGTGTGTGCGTGTGTGTGTGTGTGTGTGTGGACATTTTACTGTAATGACTCATTAGGGATTTCATTAAAAGGAATGTGAATTGGCAATGAAGCCATATTCCATAAGGATTCAGCAAGAGAGACTATGTATGCTATGAAGCAGCAACATTAGCTGGAATTATTTCCCTTTCTATAAAGAATGTCCTAAGATACATACCTCCAAATAAATAAATTCATTTATTAGGATAATGTTTATAATGTAGAATGAAAACCTCTTCTGTAGGACCCAATAGGATTTTTAAAAAATTAATTGAGGTGATGTAAGAGTGTGTGAAAAATCAGGGTTAGTATCCTGTTTGTAAAGCTGTGTTATCTGATATTATGGGTGAGAATTTTGTTTATTCTTAATCTTGGGAAGGACATTTTTTCTTTACCAAGTCAAAGGCTATTTGAATATTGATCAATCCTATTTCGGGAGTCTGAGATTTAAAACTGTAGTCACTCATTGTCCCTATTTTTCCCCCTAATTTTAAAGGACTTGTGTTCTACGGAAAAACTAATCTCTTCTGTTTATTCAGTTACTTTAAACTTCAAAAAGCACACATCTATATACAGGCTATCTCTGGAGACTGGGGCCTCCTAATTAAAACATTTTTAGGCAGGAAAAATGAGATAGTGAATTGAGACACTGTGGGGTCAGAGGTTCAAATATCCATTTCTAGATCTATTATATCTTAATCTCTTTCCAAAAGCTATTCAAATGAAGAGCTCCCTATTGGTATCAATAATAGATTATTCATTTTAGTTTTGAAAATATACATCTGCTTCTTAGAATACAAAATAATGTACTCTGTTTTGTGTTGGCTATATTTAATATCTCTTAGATTAAAACTGTTCATAAAAAAGTAATGGCAAGCCTTTCAAACTTATTTACTAAACGTTTCATCCTTTTTATGTAATTTAAATGGATTTACTAAAGTTTATTTACTAAAATAAAATGTAGTGAACATCTCTTGTTTTTGACAACACATATTCATTTACCTTTCTTTCCTTACAATAAAAAAAGAAGACAAAAAAGGAAACAAAGGAAAAGAAGACAGTTCAATGTTCTGAAAACAGTTATCTAACCCATTTATATGGGGGAAGTTGACAACCCCAGCTACAAAGTCAGTCCTGATTGGTGTAATAATTAGTGTATCCTATCTTACAGGACAAAAGGCATGACTCATGAATGGTTTATGTGACCTAATTTAGGCCATAGAGGTCCAGACGTGGGGGACCTCTCCATTGTTGGAAAGCTATGATTTATCTTCTCCTGCATGGGAAGCTTTGAGAAGGTGAGAAGGGTTCAGCATTAAGGGTATCCTGATTGAGCATGAGACCAGCACAGAGGACATCAGAAAGCAGAGGAACCAGCGTCTTGGTGACATCATTCAGCTCCGCAAGCAAGAATGGTGAAGCAATAAGTCCATGGTTTGCTTTAAGCAAGTTAGATTTTTCATTCCTGAAAAACGATTTTGGAAGGACTTCTACCACTTAAATTGTTATTAACAATATTAGTAAGAAAACAAGAGAAAAATTTGTAAATCTAAGGAGATAAGTTTTATTTATAGGCCGGGCGTGGTGGCTTACGCCTGTAATCCCAGCACTTTGGGGGGCTGAGGCAGGGGGATCATGAGGTCAGGAGTTTGAGACCAGCCAGCCAAGATGGTGAAACCCTGTCTCTACTAAAAATACAAAAATTAGCCGGGTGCAGTGGTGGGTGCCTGTAATCCCAGTTACTTGGGATGCTGAGGCAGAAGAATCGCTTGAACCTGGGAGGTGGAGGTTGCAGTGAGCTGAGATCGTGCCACTGCACTCTAGCCTGAACAACAAAGACTCTGCCTCAAAAAAAATTATTTATATATTATTTGGGATAATAAAGAGAAGACTGAAGAAACAAAAAGTAGAATATATATAGGTATATGTTTGTTACAGATGCACAGGTTATCTCATAATGCAGTTATAAACTATAAAACCTCAGGGATTGAAATACTACAAACCATAAAAAAAAGAACATTCAATTAATTATTTAAAAGTCACATATTTATTTGGTTATGTGAATTCTGAATAAAGTTAATTTATTTTTTTCTCTTAGCATCTGCCATCTTTAGAGGGCTAAAATAGTACATCTAATTTTTTATTCAAAATTCACAAAACTAAATACAGGTAAATAACATTTACCTAATTAAAGTTTATAGAATTTTTTTTCTAAATTTGTGTATTCCAAGGTTAAGTATCAGTGGTATGCCTTTAAAGAAAACTCTTGGAGAACCAACAACAACAAAAAACACATGAAATAAAACCTCTTCTATTTGTATGTTTCCTGGTATCAATGTTGTAAATGCTCCTACCATGGCTGGTTGCAAGCTACCAATGTGGTGCCACTAATTGCAGAGTTAGTGAGATATGCCCAGTGGGCTCTCCTATGCTGTAATGGAGGCTCCAGAACATATGAGAAAAGAACTAATTTTTTTAAAAGTAAAATTGAATTCAAACAATAAAAGATGATTACATGGTATTTGAATATAAAATGAAGAAATGTATTTTTACAAGGAAGACAAGGTATTATTTATTTCAAAGCATTAGATCCTGCATCATATTCTGATTCTTTAGCTGAAAGAGGACATATTAAATTATTATGTATATATATAGTATTATACATGTGTAATTGATTTAATAATATTTATCACTATTGTCAAGATCTAGGAAAAATTTGAGATTTTATCCAGTTCATAAGCGAATAAAAAAGTCTGTCACTCACAGTTTCTTGGACACTGGCAGAAGACCAGCATTTCTTGGGGCAGGGCCAATAGACTTTATTTATAAGGCACAGTAAACAGAATCACTGTCAAAAAATATGTGTCAGTTTGTTTTCCCCTCAAGTCTAACAGGGTGACACACGGGTCCCAGGTAGATGTCTGCATGTGTAGTAGGTGATGTTACACAAGAGGGAAACTCAGCTTAGGGAACTCACATCTTTTATAGCAGGCAGTAAGTATGCCTGCCATTTGCTCAGGCGGAAATTGTATCTTCTTCAACTGGTAAACAAACATTTTTGAAGAGATACTCTGGAACAAAAGGCAGTCGGTGCCTTTGCTTACAAGATGTATAGAGGCTCAAAGACAGAATTGTTTCCCAAATTCTATAACATACAATTATTGTTATTCACAGTAATTATGTGTTAGAAAGTCACTGCAAACACTGAATAAATAAATATTGAACAATTGCTAACAGAATAAATACAGATAGGCTCCTGTTAGCCTTTGATCACATTTTCATCAACCAATTAATATATAAACTTGTTGTATGTGTCTTTCTGATTAATGACACCTTATTTAATATATATTGTTGATTTATTAACATTGAACTAACAGCCAACAGCACTATAACTTATGCCTAGACAAAGCTTTTATTTTTTCTGTATAAGGCACATCGCAGATTTCTTAGGAACACTACCTTTACCTTGCTATGTTTGGGGTCATTTGAACCAGTTAAATCACCAACAAACAGCACACAAATTTGAAAAATGTGCTACTAAGCAGTCTGTGAGCAGTCCACTTGTTTATAATATGAGAGCTAAAGAACAAAGGCAGACCATCATCAACTTCAGTTGGAAATGGGAGAACTGTGTGACTCAAACGTTTCACCACTGTGCATGTACCCAAATGACCACTAAATCACTGAGAATATTACTTATGGTTATAAATACATTTTAAGAAGCAGGTAAATTTGTAACCATAAAATCCACAAATAGTCAAGATCAATGCATACTGTTGCAGTATAATAAGAATACAAATTATAGTGTGAAGAAAATATTTGTCATTGACTCAGCTCTTATTTATCCATATGATATTATGCAACCATATGTATCTAGCATCTCCTGTTGAGTTAGTTGAGAATGAAGGTGATCAAAAGTAAAAGATGTGTAGTGTCTGCTGCAATGTTCATAATCTGTGGTTGATAAATCAAGTGAATACATTCTTATTGTCTAAGTGATATAGCAACATGGGATGGTAACCATAGAGGCATTGAGAAAGCAGGAAAAGTCACCTTTATAGGAAGAAGGGAGAGGTCTATATTAAATGAAGTTTTCAAAAAGTTTGATTTTAATTTACGTCTCAAAATACTAAGACAGAGATAGTCTTGAAGACACTATAGTAAGAAGAAAGAGCAAAGGCAAAAATTGTTGGCTAAGTTTTGTGAAATTTCTTTTTTTTTTTTTTTGAAACGGAGTCTCGCTCTGTCACCCAGGATGGAGTGCAGTGGCGCGATCTCGGCTCGCTGCAAGCTCTGCCTCCTGGGTTCACGCCATTCTCCTGCCTCAGCCTCTCGAGTAGCCAGGACTACAGGCTCCTGCCACCACGCCCAGCTAATTTTTTTGTATTTTTAGTAGAGATGGGGTTTCACTGTGTTAGCCAGGATGGTCTCGATCTCCTGACCTCGTGATCCGCCCGCCTCGGCCTCCCAAAGTGTTGGGATTACAGGCGTGAGCCACCGCGCCCAGCCGTGAAATTTCTGGTACAAGGAAAATGGAAGCTGAAGTTTGAAAAAAATTTAAAGGTAAAAACAGAAAGAAATGGAATTCTTAATTAATAGCAATTTCTGAACCTGAACTATTAGTTTTGCTTTTAAAATATATCTCAACCCTCTTACTTCTACCTCAGTGACTTCACTTCATGTGTTCTGGCCATTCTCATTTCCTAAAGAAACCATTGTAATTCTATCCTAATATGAATCCTGGCCTCCATTCTTATTTCTTTTATAATTTTTGATACTCAGATACATTGCATACCATAAAATTCACACTTTTAAAATGCACATTCAGTCCTTTTTATAATATTCACAAAATTGGGCAATTATCACCATTTTCTAATTCCAGAATATTGGCATAATCGCAAAAAGAAATCCTGTATCCATTAGCAGACATTCTCTGTGTTGCCCTTTCCTCAGTTCCTGGCAACTAATAACGTACTTACTGTCTCTATGAATTGCTCTGTTAGGACACTTCACATTAAGGAATTGCAGCTTTTGTATTTGGCTTCTTTAACTTACCACGGTGTTTTCAAGGTTCATCTATGCCTATAGCACATATCAGTACTTTTCCCTGTTACTAAAAAATAATCAATTGTATGGATATATCCTGGATATATCCATTCATTATTTGGCAGACATTTGGGTAGCTCCCACTTTTTGGCTATTATAAATAATGTTGCTGTGAATAGTAGAATGTTTTCTTTTTCTTGTGGACATATGTTTACTAATCTCTTGGACAACTACTTGGTAAAGGAAGTGCTGGGAAACATGGTGACTCTATGTTTAACATTTGAGAAACCTACTCCATTCCTGACATTCAATTTAGCAATGTTGTGAAACAAGAAATAGAGTGAGCTGGGGCAGCATGTTCCATCGACCCTGTTAAGTGCCGCTGACATGGAGCTACTCTGGCGATTGTTTCAGTGTTAAGTGTAAGCTGTGTTTCATTGAGAATACCACAGCCTGCAGAAAAGACTGCATCACTGGTTTTATTTAGAACCTGAGTGTGTCCGCCCTGAAGTGATTAAAGAAAACTTGCTTCTGCAAGTGATTGGCCACCTATTGAAATATGAGAATACTACCACTGTTCTGTACCTAAACAAATAGGTTACAATGTCAAAATATTTTGGAATAAAGAGAGATAATCAAGTGCATTATTTTGTTATGTGCCTTGTTGCATAGAGATTTGCTATTATAGATATAGTTTTAGTCATTCAGGTTGTATTTATATTTTTCAATATTTCCAAAAGAATAATCTTACATAAAGAAGATATCTTTAAGTCTTTTATAGAACTTTCTATCTGGTGTTAATATTGTGTGTATTAGCTTAATTTTATTGTAAAACCTTACTGTTTAAAACCTTTTGGCTGGGCGCAGTGGCTAACAGGTGTAATCTCTGCACTTTGGGAGGCCAAGGCTAGCAGATCGCTTGAGCTCAGGAGTCCAAGATCAGCCTGGGCCACAGGTGTTGCCAATGATGTAATACATCTTAATGATATGTAATGAACTTTTAATCTGAAATGAATGTAAAAAATAATGTTAATATTCATCTTATTCTAAGAATTTATGTCTTATCTTACAGAAATGTTCCATTTGTTGAAGTATTACGAAAGAGAGCTCTGATCAAGAGGAAGAGACTTCAAACTATGAAATTTGAAACAGAAATATCAAAAATTTTCACTGACTGAACTGTATCTCTGGAGAGATTTCAGGAGTCCTTTGAAGGAACCTGCCAGAAAGAGGAAAATACTTGACCAGTATAACCTCAAAAGTGAGTACAAAAGCAAAATACCAAATATTTTTTTACTCCTTTTTATTCATCACAAGTAATTATTTTATTAGTTTTATTAGGAAAATACATAAGGAACACCTACTACAAACCAGACATTCTGCTAGATACTGAACAAAACTGGTGTAGTCTATGCCTTCATGGAGTTGTGGTGTCCGTGACATAATATAGTCATCTGTGTGAATACATAATTACAAATTATATGATATTACAATGCACGTTTATGAAAGTCCTCATACAGAAAACTCAATGGGATTCTTACTTGGATTGAGAGATCAGGGAAAACCACTCATTAGAAGTTACACTTCATTTGACAGTGAAGAAATATGAGTAGAAGTTCTCCTGAAACTATTGAAAAAATTTATATCTGAGCAAGAAAGATGCTGTCACCGTTGCAGGATTAGAGAAGAGATCCTATAATTGTAGCACAGTAATTGAAGGAAAGAATAGTACAAGAGATAGATGGGCGCAAGGAAGGTACTTCCTAATAAGAGTCCTGCTAATTAGGGGTTTGTATTTTATTATATGTCAAAGGGACAACAACTAAGGTTTAATAGTGACATGTGATCAATGATTTTTAAAGATGACAGTAGAAATGAGAGAGTCTATAGTCTGGATAGTTGACATGATAGAAAACATAGAATGACGACTGTCACTAAACTTCCAAGTTGCCATTCCAAGTAATGTTAGATGATTCTGGAACTGGGAGGCTTCAAACTACATTTTTCCTTTGCTAGTGGCCCTCTGCAAGGTTCTACCAACAGAAGGCATCAGGGTGCTTAGAATACAAGCAAAGGGAAATCTTCCCATCTGCATCACCTGGAAAATAGGCACTTCACCCAGGCGACAGTTGGTTCCAGTTTCTAGCTTCTTTCAAGCTCTCAAAGAACCAGCCTCATTGGGCTTTCCTGGTAGAGAAGATTCCCCTTCTCAGATGTTTGAGTCCAGCTCCTCTTCTGAGTTCCTGAGGTACCAGCACCAACTGGGCAGGTTCTCTTCTTTATTGTGTGACTTCCATGAGGATCTACCTCTAAACTTTATATTCTAATAACCAGAACTATTTCCCTTTGTTTCTCCAGCTCTACAGGTGGGAGTCACTCTCTACAGTAGTGATTTCTGCACTACTTCAGTATCCTCTGTTAGCTTGTATAGTTCTTTAAATCCTCCTACACCTGTTTAACTAATTTTTATATAAAATTCTCTTTATTAAAATAATTTCAGTGGTAGAAAAATATCTTTATTGTGTACAATTATGCTGTATGTTGCAGGGTGTTCAGCATTTTTGTTATCTCTATAAAATAATGAACTGTTCCTCTGACAACTTACAGTGATAAGCAAAACACTCCCACACAGTTCAAAACTCACTTCTAAGGGAGTCAATATGCATTTAGAACCAAATAATGGTTCCAACAGACAAAGAGAGACCGTAGATGGATTTAAGATAAATTATGGTAGTAGACTTAATGGAACATAATCTTGAATTCAATTTGGAAATTCTTAATGAGGGAAGATTCTACCATCAGCCACTAGGTGAATAGAGAGGTGTCGTCTACTGAAAATGGAAAGTTAGAAGCAGAAGCACATTCAGAAATTGAAATAAAGTGTATATTTATTAGATATTAGTTTTGAAATGCCTATATAAGACCCTTGCAAAAATTTCAAATGCTCTCGACATTTGAATATGCAGTTATGGAAATCAGATGTAAGGTCCACACTGAGATAAACCTTTAGGAATTGTTATCTTAAAGTTATCAGTTCAAGGTTGAGATTGCATGGGATCCTCAAGAAAGGTTATTAGATAACAAGAGAAGACAGACCTCTAAAGAAAGGGAACAGCCACATGTCAGTTAGAGGAAGTCAGCATGAGAGAATTAGACCAAGAAGCCAGAGAGACAGAAAAAAAAAGCAAAACAATGACTTTAAAAAATTTCATGTATTATTCCAGGAAATTAAAGATAATAAAGAAGAGTAGAAAATGAAAATATGTAGCATATGGCTGAGAAAACAAGATGAAAGACATCTATTGTATTTTGAACCTAGAGTTCAAGCTTCCATATATATTTTTGTTGTTGTTGGAGTGCCTGGGATTGGATAACATGGAAGAAAAGTTAAAGGAGATTGAGGACTGTGCCATGCAACAATAATAAACACACTTTTTAGGTTTGTTTTTATGGCTAGTCTGTCTGAGTCTATGAAGTGGTTCAGGCATTTTAAATTTAAAAATATATATCTTTAATAACCTGAATTGTTTTAAGTAGATCCAGGAAAAACGAACTGGGCTAAAGAACCTCATGGCCAATGTGTCCAGACAACACTAGATTATCTGTTCTATAAAATATACTTGTAAAGAAACGAGACAAATTAAGGTGACAAAATGGTTATCAAAATGAAACTACATATATATATACATATATATGTACACATATATATACATATATATGTACACATATATATACATATATATGTACACATATATATACATATATATGTACACATATATATACATATATATGTACACATATATATATACATATATATGTACACATATATATATACATATATATGTACACATATATATATACATATATATAGCAAATAACCATTTGCTATATGGTTAGCAAAATGAAAGGCTCCAGTGAAGGGTATACTTTGTCAAATATTATATATAAAACAACTATTGCAAGTTAGTTTCAATGTATTACTTTTTCAGTTAGCATCTTTTGTGGGGGTAAATTTTCATATTCTTGATCAGTATTTTTACTCTAAATATAACACTCATGTCACTGTCTAAATATTACAACAGAAAGAAAGCATAGACTCCAAAACATAAAAGCCAAGTCACTGGGTAATCTATTTAGGTGAAATTATTTTTAATATACTCAGTACTGTCTCTAGCAAGAAGAAAAATGGAATTTGCTTGGATATGTTCTAATAAATATCAATGCAATTACCTACAGGGTTTGCGAAGTATCTATGACTAAATGTGTGGGTGTGAATTAAGCCAAATAATTTGAAAAGTTAAATTACATTTTTGAGACAGGTCATTAATTCTCACAGGCCAAGTGAATACTTTTACACTAAATCAAACTTTCTCTGCTATTTCTAAGAAATAATAGGCAACTTAAAACTAAAAGCTATCTAGCTATTAGCGCAATCTGGTTCATGATTCATGACTCCATAATTTACCCTGGTGGGAAGATTTTAAGAATACATATATAGAAAAAGTTAAATAATTACTGGATTATTAACACAACTTTCTGTGCATTTATATACCAAGACCAACATTGTTATCTGAATGTATAACCTACAAGGAGTTGGTTCCTAGACTATACCTGAAATGGAGAGGTCAGCAATCTTTTACATTTCTACAATGAATGATTTTGTGAATGATTTTGTAAATTATATTATTTTACAATGAAAATTTCTTTGTTCATTTCAGAATAATTATCTTTATACTGCAATCAGACAAGATATTGTTCAGTTTAAACATAATTAAAGCCAGAGTTATTAGCAAAGTGTTTGGATAAAAACTATCCTTTTTTGTGTGTGCCCATACTGAACAAAAATAGAAAGTCACGACCGTTATTAAATGCATAATGCTTTCTAATTTTATGATAATTTTAGTTGTCCAGATGTTATACCAAAAATAAACTCATTTGAAGCAATATAATAATTTAGAAGAGTTTAGACTATATGTAGCATTACTATTCAATTATTTTTTTCCTAATCTTAAAATACTATATCATTGGGAAAGGGAAGATATTATTCTTCCAGGAATTTTTTTTATGTACTTTGTGACACGGTACCGGTAAGTAACAAAGAATATATTTAATGAAAGGTATGTTCCAATTTCTAGTCTGGAAAGAATATGTTTAACTCATTATGACTTGAACAATACTGAGATTTTTATAAAGTGAGGAGATTATTCTACAAACAATGTAGAAATTAGGTAAAAATTGGAGGCTATTTTTTGTAATAAAACCAATAGCTTCCTGATTATGTTATAAGCATCCTAATAATATATATATGACTTAGATAGCATTAATAAATTGAATAATATATTCCAAATGATTAGTGTTGGTGAAAATATATAGGATTTGGGCTTTAGATGATTAGAGAAATTTTCACAAAATTGAGAGAACTGGTCTGGTTTTTAAATAGCAAGAAACAAGATCAAAAGGATGGAGGATATCAGTATTTCCAAAAATATGTAGAAACTTTCAGTTGTTTGTTGTGAGTGGTCAGGAAGGAATAAAAATACTTGATTGCAGTGAAAAATATTTTAAAAATTAGATGAGGTGCATCTGTGACTAGAACTCAATGGCAGGGGCATAAGATACCAGATAAGGTTATTTAAATCTATTGTTTTTATCCAATAGGTAATAAGGTGTTGGTGTAGGTTGTAATCAGGAATGTGGCATGATAAGCAAGAGTTTTAGAAATATTTATCCAGTGGTATCAGATAAAATACATTATGTTACTATTTATGACAAAGGAGAATTAAAATGTAGATCCCTGTGGTCTATGAACAGCATGTGGAATGGAAAGGCTCACAAAGTGAAAATAGAGAGTCCTCTATTGTTGGAACTCAACACTGAGAAAGCCTGCTATAGTGCTTTATCATGCATGGACCTTGATACTGGGAGATTGTCAGGGAGGAAATAGGCTCAGAAATTTTAAAAAGAATAGACTGTTGCTTCAGGGGAATTTTTCTAGGAGAGCTGTCAAAATAAATATGAAACTTGGAATCCTATAAACTATGTTTCCTTGGCACAGAGATGGTAGGTGAATAATAAATATCCATCTATCTGCCAGTTTGGGCTGATAACAAGTTTCACTAACTTGGATGCCTACTCAAACCTTAGCTTTATATATTCTTTGGTGGTTTTGACTATATCATTATTCAGTTATTGTAATAAATCAACTGTATATATTATGTCATACTATCAAGTGTATGTAATTACTTTCTATATTCTTTGATTTTCATAGTTTACTACTTTCTCTAATTTTTAACAACATATTTTTTATTCCCTAATGATAAAGCAAATGAAACACAGTCTTTAAGAAAGTCAAACCAGTGGCTCACTCCTGTAATCCCAGCACTTTGGGAAGCCGAGGTAGGCAGACACAAGGTCAGGAGATCCAGACGATCCTGGCCAACATGGTGAAACCCTGTCTCTTATACTAAAAATACAAAAATTAGCTGGGTGTAGTGGTGCGTGCCTGGAATCCCAGCTACTCAGGAGACTGAGGCAGGAGAATCAGTTGAGCCAGGGAGGTTGTAGTGAGCTGAGATCGCGCCATTGCACTACAGCCTGGCGACAGAACAAGACTCCTCTCAAAAAAAAAAAAAAGAAAGTCAAACCAGCTACCTTCAATGTTAAGCATCTCCTTATTTAACACAGTACCATAAAAATACATGTTATGATTAAAGTATATTATTTTGACTCTTTTATATCTCTGTTTATAGGAAGTTTGTGGAAATATTATACAGCAATTAAAAAGGCATATAAGTGCTCAATTTTACACAACAACTTAGACAACTTATTTATGAGTATCTCACAAAATTTGAGGAATCAGGGAGTAAATATTTTTGTAGCAAATTTGCTGAAATGAAACAACAGAATTGAATGCATTAAAGAGAAATTGTTACACTTCATGTCAATTTCAAATACACAAAATTTTAAAAATTCGTGTTAATATTAATATACTTCAACCTTATAAGTTATTGAGAAGAATAATATAAGATCTATATATGCTTTACCAAAATTTAACAAATTTTAATATTTCATAATCTCTTACACATATACATATATAGATCTTTCAAATACTTCAGCTACTATTTATATATCTATATATAAAGATATATGTATACCATATTTATATAACTATTCACATATACATTATATATATATATATTAATAAATTTCCAAGTTTTAGAATTCATGATATGGAAACCATGCATACCTCAGTATGAATTGTCTAACCTTATTTTCCTATATAGTCACAGAAGCATTATTGTATCTAAGAAAATTAGCTATAATCCTATAAAAATTGAGAATAATGTTAAAGTGTAATTTAATTTGGTTTACGTATTCAAACAAGCTCCTTTGACTATTGCCTTCAAAATACCTTTTACAGCAGCAGTTGCTGCTACCACTGCTACTGCTTTCTCCTTTTTCTCTTGCTTTTCTAATTCAAGATATGCCCATTGCATTTGGTTGTTACTTTTTGTTGTTGTTGTTGTTGTTGAGACAGAGTCTCGCTCTGTCGCCCAGGCTGGAGTGCAGTGGCACGTTCTCAGCTCACTGCAACCTCCGCCTCCCAGGTTCAAGCGATTCTCCTGCCTCACCCTCCCAAGTAGCTGGGATTACCGCCTGGTTAATTTTTGTATTTTTAGTAGAGATGGGATTTTGCCATGTTGGCCAGGCTGTTCTCAAACTCCTGACCTCAGGTGATCCACCCATCTTAGCCTCCCAAAGTGCTGGGATTACAGGCATGAGCTACCACGCCCGGCCTTATTTATCTTTAATGTAGTTTAATCTAGATTAATACCCTAGTTTTATATGTTTAAATAAAATTACTTTATTAAAGAATCCAGATTAAGCATCTTGAAGTATATTCTACATTCAGTGTTTTAAAGATTATTTCCTCATGTCAGATGTAGTTTTATCAGTTTTGTGTAGCAGAAATATTTTGTAAGAAACACAATGCAAGTTTTGCCAGTATTGGTAATTATAGACTAGATCACTGACATGAGGGGCAACAAATCTCTATTTAGAAGGTACATTTTCCCCCTGTGTATTAGTAATCTCTCAGGAGACATATTTAAAACCTTGTGAATAACTTATTTCTCACCAACATTTCATACAATGGTTTTAGCATCTACTGATAATTGCAGGTAGAATTTGTTGTTTTACAGGGTATTTCAAAAGTGATTTTTTTAATTTCAACATTTTCTATATTTATTAGCCAGCAATTTTCTCTAAAGATGAACTTTTGATGTTGTTTCTTTGTCTCCCTGTGTCTCATTATCAATAGTCATTATACATTTTAATATACTTCTTAAAAATTTAGTATATTATCATCCAATTGTTGTCATTATTTTTAATATAAAAATAGTCTCAACTGTTGTCCAGTGAGTTTCTTCGAATCACTTCCTGTGGCTGTATGACTATTTCATATATTTTTTAAGATGATGAATATTCCTCTTTTTTTTTTTTTTTGAGACAGGAGTCTCTCTGTCACCCAGGCTGGAGTGCAGTGGCGCGATCTCAACTCACTGCAACCTTGGCCTCTAGTGTTCAAGGGATTCTCGTGAGTCAGCCTCCTGTGTAGCTGGGACTACGGGCACATGCCACCATGCCCGGCTAATTTTTGTATTTTTTTTAGTAGAGATGGGGTCTCACCATGTTGGTCAGGCTGGTCTCAAACTCCCCAAGTGATCAGCCCACCTGAGCCTCCCAAATCGCTGGGATTTCAGGTGTGAGCCATTGCACCCACCCTAGATGAAGAACATTCTTAATGTACAATTAGTTTTGATTCAAATTAACACAAATAGAGAGTTTACCTGATTTTATATATATATATATATATATATATATGAATTTTATTATTGAATAGTGCACTGTACTCAGTCAAATCACTAAGATTGCTGTCCAGGAACGTGTGTAGGAATTTGCATAGAGGAATTTAGTATTTGAGGGGCGCTTAACCTAAGTGGGTGTTTTATCTGCTCTACTAATTTTGTGAAGCATTTCTTTAACCCATGTGACATAGTTTGGGTCTGTATCTCCACCCAAATCTCATGTGAAATTGTATTTCCCAATGTTGGAGGAGGGACCCGGTGGGAAGAGACAGGATCATGGGAGCTGATTTCCCCCTTACTTTTCTCATGCTGGTGAGTGAGTTCTCACAAGACCTGTTCCTTTAAAAGTTTGTGGCACCTTCCCCGCTAACTTCCTCCTGCTCCGGCTATGTAAGATGTGCTTCCTTCCTCTTTAACTTCCACTACGATTGTCAGTTTCCTGAGGTTTCCCCAACCATTCTTCCCCTACAGCCTGCAGAACTGTGAGTCAATTAAACCTCTGGTTTATAAATTACCAGTCTCAGGTAGTACTTTATAGCAATGTGACAATAGACTAATACAGAAAATTGGTATTAGAGAAGTGGGCCGTTGCTATAAAGATGCCTGAAAACGTGGAAGCAACTTTGGAACGGGTAATGGACAGAGACTGGAAGAGTGTGGAGGGCTCAAAAGAAGACAGAAATGTATGGGGTAGCTTGGAACTTCCTAGAGATTTGTTAACTTCTTGTGACCAAAATGCTGATAGTGATATGGACAATGAAGTCCAGGCTTAGGAGGACTCAGATGGAGATCAGGAACTTATTGGCAACTGGAGCAAAGGTCACTCCTGCTACACTTTAACAAAGAGACTGATGTTAATGTGCCCCTGCTCTAGAGATCTGTGGAAATTTCAACTTATGAGACATGAGTTAGGGTACCAGGCAGAAGAAATCTCTAAGCAGGAAAGTATTCAAGAGGCAGCCTGGCTGCTTCTAAAAGCATATGTTTTTGTTCATAAACAAAGAAATGACCTTAAACTAGAACTTGTATTTAAAAGGGAAGCAGAGCATAAAAGTTTGGAAAATTTGCAGTCTAATCGTGTAGTAGGAAAAAAAGAAAAGCCCATTTTCTGGGGAGGGTTTCAAGCTGGCTGCAGTTAATAACTGAGGCAATGGGGAAAATGCCTCCAAGGTATTTCAGAGACCTTCATGGAAGCCTCTCCCATCACAGGCCTAGAAGCCCAGGGGGGAAGAATGGTTTCGTGGGCCAGGCCTAGGGCCCTGCTGCTCTGCACCACCTGGGGACACTGCTCCCTGTGTTCCAGCTGCTCCAGCTTCAGCCATAGCTAAAAGGGCCCCAGATACATCTCGGGCCACTGCTCCAGAGGGTGCAAGCTGGAAGCTACCAAGGATTCCATGTAGTGTTAAGCCTGCAGATGCACAGAGGTCAAGAGTTGAGGCTTGGGAGCCTCTATCTAGATTTCAAAGGATGTACAGAAAGCCTGGATATCCAGGCACAAGTCTGCTTCAGGGGCAGAGCCTTCATGGAAAACTTCTACTAGGGCAGTGCAAATGGGAAATGTGGGGTTGGAACCCCACACAGTGTCCCCACTGGGGCAATAGCTAGTGGAGCTATAAGAAAAGGGTCACCATCTGTCCCCCAGAACCCAGAAATAATACCTCTACTGACAGCTTGCACTGTGTACCTGGCAAAGCCACAGGAACTCAATGTGAGCCTGTGAAAGCAGTTAGTGGGGGCCGTACTTTGCATCGTCACAGGGGTAGAGCTGCCCTAGGCCTTAGGAGCCCACCTCTTGCATCAGTGTGGCATGGATGTGAGACACAGAGTCAAAAAGAGATTATTTTGGATCTTTGAGATTTAATGACTGCTCTGCTGGATTTTTGTGAGAAAGCATTTTAAATGGTCCATTTTCAAGGTATGATAAATCTAAGTACTGGCAGCCAGTCGCCAGTCTGCAAAACGTAACAAACTGCATGGCTCGTGCACCTAGAAGGTCACAATAAGCAAACAGAATGCAGAGGAGGGGTCAGCCCATAAAAAGGAAGAAAGATTCTTTATTGGGATATGGAAACTTAAGTGGAGAAGGGGAGCAGGGTATAACCTTATAAGGGGGATAATGAAACTTGACCTCTGGGAAGACTGTAACCCCACAGCACTCAACCAATGAGGAACTAGGGGAGGGACTTGCATGCTAGGAGATAAATTACCACTTGTGACTGTCCCGGGTGTGCCTGCCCACCAGACACACAATCTTGCAAGACGGTTATTAAACAGTCTCACTTTAACTGTTCTTCGTGCCTCTAAGTCCATTCTTTGGGTTTGGATGAGTGACTGTGTTTCTCACAGTTTTGGACTTGCATGGGGCCTGTAGCCCCTTGGTTTTGGCCAATTTTTCCCTTTTGGAAAGTGAGCATTTACCCAATGCCTGTACCCTCATTGTATCTTGGAAGTAACTAGTTTTTTATTTTACAGGCTCATAGGTGGAGGGACTTGCTTCGTCTCAGAGGAGACTTTGAACTTTGGACACTTGCGTTAATGCTGGAATGAGTTAAGACTTGGGGGATTGTTGGGAAGGCATAATTGTATTTTGAAATGGGAGAGGGACATGAGATTTGGAAGAGGCCAGGGGCAGATTAATGTGATTTGGGTCTGTGTGCCTGCCCAAATCTCATGTCAAATAGTAATCCCACTTTTGCAAAAAAGGCCTTGTGGGAGGTGATTGGATCAGGGGTGCAGACTTCTGTCTTGCTGTTCTTGTGATAGTGAATGAGTTCTCACAAGATCTGGTTGTGTAAAAGTGTGTAGCACTTTTCCCTTTGTGCTCTCTGTTGTGCTCCACCACGGTAAGACATGCTTACTTCCCCTTTGCCTTCCACCACTATTGTAAGTTTTCTGTGGCCTCCCATCCATATGTCCTGTAAAGCTTGCAGAACTCTGAGTCAACTCAAACTCTTTTGTTTATACCTTACTCAGTCACAGATAGTTCTTTATAGCAATGCAAGAATGGACCATGTTTTTAATGGGTTAAAATTTCAGTCTGGGCGCAATGGGTCACACCTGTAATCCCAGCATTTGGGGAGGCCAGGTGGATCACTTGAGGTCAGAAGTTTGAAAACCCCGTCTCTACTAAAAATACAGAAATTAGCTGGGTATGGTGTGAGCTACTATAATCCCAGATACTCGGGAGGCTGAGGCAGGAGAATCGCTTGAACCTGGGAAGCAGAGGTTGCAGTGACCCGAGATCATGCCACTGCACTCCAGCCTGGGCATTACAGTGAGACTCCATCTCAAAACAAACAAACAAACAAACAAAATTTTAGGCCAGGCACAGTGGCTCATGCCTGTAATCCCAGCACTTTGGGAGGCTGAATTGGGTGGATCACCTGAGGTCAGGAGTTTGAGACCAGCCTGGCCAACATGGGAAAAGCCCATCTCTAGTAAAAATACAAAAATTAGCTGCACATGGTGGCACGTGCCTGTAATCCCAGCCACTTGGGAGGCTGAGGCAGGAGAATTGTCTGAACCCAGGAGGTAGAGGTTGCAGTGAGCCGAGATCATGCCACTACACTCCAGCCTGGGTGACAGAGCGAGACTCCATCTCAAAATATAAAAATTTCAGTGGGGTAAAACCCATGTTGTCAATGGGTTAGTTACTTCAATGTTGAAATGATGTTACTAAAGTTTACCACCAACAACAGTAATATTATTATTGTAAGCCTTAATAGTTGATTTAAAAATAATTTTAATGAACTAAATTGAAAAAAGTCTTTGGAATCTCATAGCAAACTTAATTCAGAACCAATTACTGTTGAAAAGCTTATGTCTGCTTGCTAATAAATCAAAACACTCAATAGAAGGTAAGGATCCCCAAACAACACTGAGTTCCATCTAAACTTCCAGTCCAGGGCCAAACTGAAGTTCCTGCCTTTTGGTAGCCTGATTACATTGCTTGCATAGCTTTCTAAAAATATGTAACACCTTCCCCTTCCTGAAAAATACATAGACAGGCACACATACATACATACATACAAATTTGTTAAAACATACAAAACAATAAAATAGGACAATGTGATGACAAACTTATATGTATATGCTTCACCACCATTTACAAGATTTTTATATGTAATTATAGTCTCTCTCCTTCTCTCTCTCTCCATATACATATAACTTTAGCTTTGAATTAAATTAAATCATATATATATAAAATATTGGCATATTAGAAAATGTTATATATTGTGTTTGTTAAGTCAATTTTCTTCTTTTTATATTCACAAGACACCTGAAAAATATCATTTTCATGCCTTACCTTTTATAAAAATTTGAAAAACAAACTAGGTTCTGTACTTTTGCATAATCTATGAAGGAAGTGGTATGAAAAGCAGGTTCAGGTCCTGACCTTAAACTACATTTTCATTAATGTTTTCTCATTTTCTTAACTTATTTGGTTATTTCCCAGTAAAGACCCATATTTTATTATGTTTCATTTCAGAATTTACATTATTGACTAAATAGATATTTGAAATTGTACTGACATATTTTCAACCTAGTTAATTCAATTATTTGTACTTCTCTCACTTAAAATTTTCAAAAAATAATGCAATTTTGATGGTGTATATCTATATGTATGATGCAGTTTTCTCTATTTAATTATCACATTATATTTAATGTTAATTAAATACTGGTTGCAAACCTAAGAATGTTCATGAGGTATTTTATTCTTTATTTTCTAAATAATCTTTATAACTGAGCTCCAAAATAGATGAAAACATGATACACATCAATTTTATTACTAAAATTTCTTAATATAAAATTATTTTTGTCATTGATTTTATTGGTCTATGTTGGAATCTCCTATAAGCCAGAGCTAATTCTCAGCTACCCAGGATAATGAGGCAAAGGATGGTACAGAATTTCCAAAATAGCGCCAAGAAATTATTTGCTTTATATTCAGTGTCAAACATCAAATTTTAAAGTTTATTTATTTTAAAGATAAATAAAAATGTTAGGAAATGACTGTCAACGTAGGAAAACTATTTGAATCTCTCTACTTAACCATTTTTTCCCTATACCAGGTACCTCCATTTTGGCCAGAAACAGGACCACTGCTCAGATTATGAATTAGGAAAATTCCAGTGCTATAATCTTTAATGTGTGAACGTTTGTCATTTATATTCCACACATCCACTGCTTTAGAGAAGATTATAGTTTAGACAATTTCGGTATGACCAGAAAATTACAAGTTTAATATTATTTCTGGGGTTTATGTTATAAATATAAGAAATTATGTAGTGAGAATTGCACCTGTTAGTAGTTAGTAGTATATATTAATTTGCAGAATATGAAGACATTTCAAGAATTGTAATCAGAAGAACAATGATAAACTTTACTCATTTATAAGTTTTCTCTCTTCTTTTTCAAAATTCACACTTTAATTTAAATGTATAGAGTAACTAGTTATTAGATTGGAGAAAATCTTACCCCAAAAAAGTTCATTAAAAATAAGTTTCGATAACCTACTTAAAGAAATTTTACTTAGTGGTATTGTAAATGTACAAAAGCCTTCATATACATTTGACTAGAGCTGAAAATAAACATGCTGATTTCAGTATAACGCTAATAACTTTCTTTACTAAATGAGATACACAAATATGATCATGACCCAATAACTGGAATAGTTTTTATTTTTCTTTAGAAAATCTATGTTTTTTTTCTTTTTTTACCCCCCAAATCTAGGTACCTCATTGCTATTTGTATTCATTATATTAGATTACTATCTTAATGCTTCAAAGCAAACATCAGCCTTTATTAAAGACATAAATATTGATTAAATTTCAAACACATGGTTTGTCACATTCTCTCAGAATATAATTCATTTTGAATTAGGATTGGTATTTGAAGACCTCCTTAATTTTTGTAAAAACTTTCTGTCCTCTACATTATCATTCTCCATTACTACTTGAAATAATAATTACTTATAAAGCAAATGTAATAGGTTTTTTTTAAAAAGTCCTAAAGGCTGGCAATTAATCCATTTTCTGTTAGTGAACAGCTCCCTTAATTGGAGTAGTCATTTTATTGAGATACAAGATTTTATTTTGGATGTGGTGGTAAAGAAAGATAAGCCATAATGACAGGGCAATTTTAAATTCTTTTACTCAAAGAATCAAACAATATTAAATGCATACTATACCCCAGACATAATAGGTTCTTGGCTTTGAAAATGTGACAATGAAACTAAGTGTCTCTGACTTTGTGGAGCATATAATCAAGTGGAGGAAACAGTAAACGGAAAAATAGTAAATAAGAATAGCGGTAAGACTGCCACTTTGTCTTATTTTTTACTGGAGTTTGATAAACAGTAGGCACTGGATAAATGATTTTGTATACAATAATTATGCCATATAATATTCTCCAATTTACTGGTTACACTTGTTTAAAAATGCCTTTTTATTTTGGAGAGCACCTGCTTATGTTAAAGTGTCTTATAAGGAAGTTTATTTTAAAGTCAGAGAGGTTAGGACAGTCAATTATTCTTATGCAATTTAGCTATACTTGATACAAAATTTGACCTAGCCAACTGAAGACAAAGTAAACTTGGTTCAGCTAAACTGCCTCACTCTAATTTTTGTGACTCTGAGTGAGGTAAAAATAAAGTACCTCTATAGATGACAAGGTCATGTTCAGAGATGCCAAGAGTTTGATGTCTAGCATAGAACATTGGTAGAACTTTGATTGCCATCAATTTTCTTTGTTCATGACATCTGCTTCCTGTGGTATGGAAAGTGAGGACAGATGTAGGAATAAAGTGTAGGACAAATATTAATTGTGACAATCAGTGTTTTGGAGGTTTTGAAACCACAATTTTTAAAGTCAGCAAATGATGATAGACAATAATTAAGTCTGTTAAAACTCATACGTTGATAAAAAAACAAAAAAATGATAAATTCATGTAAGCATTCAAAATTTCAAATAAGACAACATGGAATGTTAATACATTATTAAATCATAATGAAATTATTCAGACATATAATTTTACATGGTATTAAGTAAAAGAGTATGATGAATAAAAATATGGGGAAGACTATATATTAGCTAACATGCAAACAATTATGATACTTTTTTCACTTATTTTTCCATAAGATAGAAAAGACGACAAAAGTAAGCACTAAATGTTTAAAAGGCAGCAATGACCACTATACTTTTGAGCGTCTGAATAAATATATTTATTAATTATTACGAATACGGCCTTTGGAGTCGTATTCGACTCCAAAGCCATAGCCAGGACTCCAAAGGGTCCACAGCCAGGACCCTGGGGAGAAAGGCAGTCTTAGCATGCCTTCTTCACATGGCAGTTTTATGATCTTTATTCATGTTACTTCACCATTATCTCTCAGCTTTATCATCTGTAAAAGAGAGTCACCATTTGTGTTTTTTTTTTTTTTTTTTTTTTTTTTTTTTTGAAACAGGGTCTTGCTCTCTCGCCCAGGCTGGAGTGCAGTGGCTCCATCTCTGCTCACTGCAAGCTCCGCCTCCCGGGTTAACGCCATTCTCCTGCCTCAGCCTCCCGAGTAGTTGGGACTATAGGCGCCCGCCACCACGTTCGGCTAATTTTTTGTATTTTTAGTAGAGACGGGGTTTCACCGTGTTAGCCAGGATGGTCTCGATTCCTGACCTCGTGATCCGCCCGTCTCTGCCTCCCAAAGTGTTACAGGCGTGAGCCACCGCGCCCCGCCCACCATGTGCTCTTTAAGGCTATTGTGGACTTAAACAAAGCAGCGTTTGCAAAATGCTTGTTATGGACTAAATGTTTGCATCCCTCCAAAACTCATATGTTGAAATCCTAACCCCCCCCGCCCATGTGATGGTATTAGGAAGTGTGGCTTTGAGAAGCAATTAGGTCATGAGGGTAGAGTCTTCATTAATGGGATCAGTGTCTTCTTCTTCCACAGAAGAAGAAACACTGAGCTGGGTCATGCTCTCTGCTCTCTGCTAAGTGAGGAAACAATGATAAATCAGTCAACTGCAAACCTGGAGGAGTGCCCTCACCAGGTGCTGGATCTACTGGAGCAGTTATTTCAAACATCCCAGTCTTCAAAACAGTGAGAGATAAATGTTATTTATGGTATTTGTTATAGCAACACCAGCTAACTAGGACAGTACTTATTGCATACGATACACTGCAGAAATAAAATTGGCATAGGTGTTCAATAAATGTTTATTGAAGAAGAAATAAACATACTATTATTTAGAAATAAAAGAGGAGACAGTCTCAATAGCATAATGAGTCTACACTGTTACCTTTGAAGAGTCTAACTGGCATATATTTTGGTAATTTAAAACATTTTTACGAATAGAATACTACAAAGTGTAATCTTCAGATTTGCAGTAACAACTTAGAGAGCAGCAATAGAAGTAATATTTTCTGATAACTAAGAAAACTTTTAATAATGTGGACTGCCCTGAAACTGTGATGATATTCACCTGTGTTTTGAACTATATAATTAAAAGCACAAATTTCTAATAAGAAACTACCACTCAGACAATAGTTTAATATGGTGCTTAAATATTTTTGCTAGTAGCAGTATCTTGCTATTAGAAAAATATCTGACAGAATTTTTATCTTCTGTGCAGATGTAACACATAATGAGTTGTGTCCAGATCCCCATTCTTCTTAACATCCCAGCTTCAGCCCTAAATCCTATCAAAGTGAAATGGGAAGTGTTTTTTTTTTTTTTCACTTCATCAGTTAAAATTTTTTTCACATAAATTTTTCTTGCTTTAATACATCCCACTGGCATGGTAATCTATAACACATTCATCTATTCAATATATTTATTTAGCAAACATACCCTGCAAAGTACATAGCCACTGTTAGTCTCTAAACATGCATGTAACATTGTAGAGAAAAATGACATCTTGTTAAATGACAGTGATACAAAATAGAATGTAATAAGGGCCTTAATAAAAGTAAATTATGGGCCAGGCACAGTGGCTCACCCTTGTAATCCCAGCTTTTGGAAAGCCAAAGCAGGTGGATCACTTGAGGTCAGGAGTTCAAGACCAGCCTGGCCAACATGGTGAAAACTTGTCTCCACCACAAAAACACAAAAATTAGCTGGGCATGGTAGAATGCCTGTAATCCTAGCTACTCCAGAGACTGAGGCAGGAGAACCGCTGGAACCCAGGAGGTGCAGGTTGCAGTGAGCCGAGATCCCAAGATCGTGCCACGGCTCTCCAGCCTGGGCGACAGAGCCTCTGTCTCAAAAATAAATAAATAAATAATAAATAAATAAATAAATAAATAAATAAATTCTTTTAGGAAGCTAGCAGTTATTGGATAGCCACCATGTCCTATGCATTCCTCTAGATTTTTTTCAACGCACACTGCCTCAGTCTTGATTTTCCCTAAACTTTGTGAAGTCAACATTAACATTACCATTTTACAGATTACAAGAAAAAAAAAAAAAACGCCAAAAAGCCCAAACTGAAGTAAGTTGAGGCTAAAGTATTCCTTAGATTTCTACCTCAATATCCCTTATACCATATGTTCTTCACATTCCTAACCACAGAATACCCTGAATATATTCATAGTCTTTTTTCCCCTTCCACATGCCTACTATCAAAGTCTGATTTCAGCTGTTTATAATCTTTCCTCTGAATTATTTCTAGTTGTTTTTCCACCTCCAATTTTAAATATCTCCCTCCTTCTGTCTACATATCATCCAGGTCTAATCATACTACTTTTCTGTATACAAATTCTTCAGAGACTTTTTATTGTGTGCCAGTGAAGCAAAAGCTACTTTTAATGACATACTGAACTGTCTTTGAGCTGCCTCCTATTCTATTCCACTTCTCTTTGCAGTTCCTCCCCTCCCTCAGAACAGGAGATCCCATCCTTACAGACCTGTCTGTTGTTTTGTGATCTGATTGTTCAATCACGTCTCTGAGCAGATTTTCCCTCAGGTTGGATTTACCATATTCATTCCTCAAGATCCAAGTCAAGAACTGCCTTCTCCATAAAGCACGTCAGACTGAGATAGCTATTCCTTAGAAGGTCCATCACTGTCCACTCTGTAGGTCCACATAACATGGTACAATTTTATAAAAATACACTACAGAAAACAAATTATCTTATATTTGAATTACTTGTGCTACAAAACTTACTTCTTGTTTTCTATTTATTCAACTACCATTTTGGAAACGAAGCAAATAATTTTTGAGAAAAATATTTCTCTAAAACAATCATAGTTATTTCTGACTTTGGATGCTTTTATAAGTCACCTAAAAGGACTTTTTTTAAAAAAGGAAAAATTTACTCCATGATGGATTAGTAGTTATTTTTAAATTTAGGACGTCACATCTACCAATGATGGATACTAATAAAATAACCCATTTAAAGATCACTTTTGAAAAGTCACAGATAGAAGTCTTCTAACAGGTAAAACTTATACCTAAAACATTATTGAAAGACAAGCGAGTGAGAGAAAACAGCACTACTAATGTGATGGCTTGGGATAAAATTTCCAGTGACAGCATCATATAGGCTTTTAAAAACGCTATTTTTCAAAAAGCAGACAGATATGAAGATGATGTGCTTTAGAAAACTGTTAGATGACTCATGAAGTGGCTGCTGTGATCACTAGATGGTGATGTCTAGGGTGTCCATGAAAGATTTAAGGAAATTGCTTCATAAAATATGAGTAGGGAAGAAAGCCATAACTTTATATTAATATCTTATTTGATATAGTGCTATTTTAAGTGTGTTCATGTAATCAATTATGTAATCAAAATATGCATTTATCTACTTCATTTTATCTAAGGTAGACAAAAGTATTCTTGTTGCCTTTTCTTATTTGGAAAATAGAGAACTGTATTATAGTCGGGTATCTTAGTTTTTGGATGTATGTAATGCTTCTTTTTGTGGCATTTTATTTTGAGACAAGAGTCTGGCTTTGTCGCCCAGGCTGGAGTGCAGTGGCGCCATCTCGGCTCACTGCAAGCTCCATCTCCCGGGTTCAAGCAGTTCTCCTGCCTCAGCCTCCCGAGTAGCTGGGATTACAGGCATGCCCCACCACACCCGACTAATTTTGTATTTTTAGTACAGACGGAGTTTCCCCACGTTGGTCAGGCTGGTCTAGAACTCCTGACCTCAGGTGATCCACCTGCCTTGGCTCCCAAAGTGCTGAGATTACAGGCATGAGCCACCTGCCCGGCCTGTGTTTCTTTTCATCAGCCTCTTTTCCTTAATATGCCACTAGTTCCTTGATGAACAGAGAATGTAAGCTTCATAAGGAAAGGCATTTATTATTGTTAATAAATGCTGTTATCACCAATCCTGAACACTTCTAAGCTCACAGTGGGCACTTAACAAATGATGCTACGAGGGATCACTAAATCACTGTATTTCAGGCATTTCATAGTGTTTGACGTGCAGTAAACTATTGGTATTTTTATATTAAGAATACATTATTGCAATAAATTTTGAATAGGTATCATAAGCAGAGGAAGCTTGACTCAAACCCAGATTTATTTTTTGCTGGATCCAACAGTAATTGTATTGCCTCTGAACAAACAGAAGATGGGTAGATTGTTTCCACACTGGAGTCAGAGAGGTAACATGATATGGAAGACATTATGAATTCAACAGGTAGGAACTGAAACTTTCCTCAGTGCCTTTTAGTGACTTACTTATATATGAAATGTTATTTACCAGCCAATTTTCATTTCAGTAGTCCCTAGCTGAGCACTCACCCCCACCAACCTGTGCTGCTCTCCAGTCAGAAGTTAACATCAAATGCTGGAGGCTGAATGACTAGTCTTCACTTTCTCAGGCACAGAGTCCACACACCCCTTTTAAAACCCAACAGTTTTTAGCTCCTAGATAGCCAGAATAAAAGGTCTTTATGTAAAAGCTTCATCAAAGCTTCTATTTTCTTCAACCACTCTTGCATCTTAGCCTGCCAGACTACTAAATTGTTGACACTGAAACACTGACCAGCCCTATTCTATCCTTTTGGAAGTAGAATGCCCTGATTAGACCCAGGTATCCAGTGTCAACTCTATTAAGGCTCAAAACAGTCTATATCCTGTCTATTTGATTCTGAGAACCAAATGATCCCATACTAGACTCTTTGTTTTTTACAGACAAGTCAAAAGAAAGACCTTTGCTGAATCATAATATTATACCTTGATTGCTATTGAGAAAATCTAATCATTGTTTCACAGAAGTTTTTTATACTTATATGCTTTTTCTTCATATATCCATAGATCTACATGATTTTTTCTCCTTTCTATTTAATTCAAGTTCTCTTTGAAGCTTAAAACTATAAAGATGTCTCCTTCCTTTGAATTCATAATATCATCTGTCTCTCATTATGTAATAATATAACACCAAACCATTTATTTTGCATTGTGTAACAGTTAATTTCCATATATGTCTGATTATAAATGGTATAAGAATTATACTCATCTACCTCTCGTTTTTTTCTGAGGAATTGGTAAACTATTCTTCATTTGAGTCAATAGAATTTTTCAGATGTTTTATACTATATTCTTTCTTTTGGCTTTATGCTTGTCCTAAGCAGCTGACTGCAAAAGACTTCCTCTGCATTTTTAAAAATTATTTTTAGATAGATTAATATACAAAAGCCTGATTTTTAAATGCTGCTTATAGTGTCTCATTGTCTCTGCTTTCTCTTTAAAAAATATCATGTTGCCTATTCCTATGATAGACTTGATTTATCTTCCTTTACTTGGATTGCCCATGATGACAGTTACTTAGCAAATTCTCAGTCTCAAAGTTCTTGATATTTCAGGAACACTATCCTTCCTTAATAAGATGACTCTGAAGTCAGGTGGCTCATTGTTTAAATTTTTTGTAGTGATTTTGGAAAATCAGATACCATATTTTGCATAAAATAAGAATTTTTGTATTCTTGCTCCCTTGGCACGGACTGCTCTTCCCCTTACCTAATTTTATGTTTCTTCCCAAATATTTGGCACACTCACTCCTCCTTCTGGGAGATATAGTGCCCCATTCAGTCACTGCAGGCTGCTCAAAATCTGGGATCTCTGGGTGATGTAAAACTTTCTCCATCAGGTCTTGTGGCTTTCTTTGGTACAAAGACATATAGACTAAAATGAAATTTCCTGCCCACCTCTCCAAACTTGCTCACCCAGCATACGATGGTGAAAAAAGACCAATTTCTTTCTCTTTAGGAGAAGGTACAGATGAGAGATAGAACAATTTAAAGCAATTCTGAAATCCCAAGAGAAAGAAAATGTCATCCATAATCTTGCCAATCAACTTCAAAACAATTTCCAATTTATGACACCTCCACATTGATTCTATTCCTATGTGTGACTTCACTCAGTTCAAAGATTCTCTGCACACTATTTTGGATTGCACTTTTTTCATGTGCTTTTTAAAAATCGCATATCCAGTTTGATGAATTTTCTACTATTGATCTTGATGACTAAAAAGTATGTTAACATAATTCTTACAAGATGAAAAGTGAGATTAATATTATATATACTTTTTAATGACACTGAGATTGTAAGTTCTGACATGCTGAGATGGTGCCAAATTTTCTGTTGTCTACCCATTTTTCTGTGAATGTTGAATCTTTTATCTCTGCCTACTCCAGTATAGTTGGTCACTTCCTGGTCACGTATCCAACTGAATCAAGAGCTAATTCTTTGTAATTAATAAAACAAAAATCCTTATCTGTAAAACAGTAGTTTTTTCTCAGAGTCCAGATTGCAAGCATGATAATTTTACATTACAATGTGATCTGAATTGTTAAATTTTTTTCATGTTTTGGTAAAAAAAGAAGAAAGCTTCCCATAATGGTAAGAAAATAAATAATAATTAATGCTTAGATTATTTTAGAGAAAAAAATTCTACAATTCAATACAGGCTCCTGTTATAATAGCTAACTTGTTTTTATAGAGACACATGAATATTATGGTTAACAAACAAAATGCTAATTTGTAAAATATAAAAAAACAAGGAAATAAAGGGTGCCTGTCAAATAGATCATTAATTAAATGAATATTCTCAGATACATTATTGAGAAGCTTTAAAGAAAAACAAATGTTTGCCAAGTTTTTTTAATGTAAAGAGTCTTTACAGTGCCCTTTAAAATACATCAGAGAAAAATCACTACAGCTTTAATGCATTTATATAAACAAGATAGTCATTTTCCTTAGTATTCCTTAAAGGTGAGATGTGGATAATGAAGACCAGATTTCTTTTAAATCCTTATTTTATGGCAATATTTTTCATTCTAATGACACTAACAGATTGATATTATTATGCATGTGTCCTTGGTCTGATTCACTCTGAAGCACTTTGTCTTGTGTAAAAACTTCAAAATAAACTACTCAGCTAGCTTTTCTCAAGTACTCCTCACATTATTCATGGCAGGAAATTAAATGAGAAGCATAGAATTTAGAGTCAGAATCCTTGATACACTACAGTGGCGTTGGTTCAGCCAAATCAGAGATGAGTGTGCTTGAAAAGTTACTAATTTCCCTGAATAACTGTCTTCAAAAGTAAAATGGGGATAAAAAATATAAAACAATAAGTGGGAGCTATTATAATTTTCTCTTACCCCACATAGTGAACACTTTTTGGAGGCAGCAGTTTAATGCTGAAGAGCTTAAAATATGTTTTTTTCTAATAAATTCATAGAATAAAATAACTGATTCATTTTTGAAGAGCCAATTTTTAAAAATTAAGTATTAAACATAAATGCAGGTAAGTATATCTCTTCTGAAAGTACGTAGCTTTTCACTGCTATGTTATCTTTTTTTCTGTTATTGCAATGGGATTTATTTTTAGTTGTGAGTGCAAATAGATTTTAAACTGGACATGTAATGATGATACATAGCTGTAAATCTTAACTCATTATAGCATAAGACTTCACATTCCATCAGTTATATTAATTGTTGATATCAAATTATTTTTAGAAAATATACCTTAAAATAAATTTAACCAAGTCTTTTAATCTTAGAAGATTTATGGTTTTGAAAATACTCATTTTGCAGTGATAAATTTACTTTGTTCCCATTTTCTATTAAGCAATGTAAGATCAGAACTTCTATTCATAACGTTTATTTATCACAGCCACTAAGAGAAAAATAGTCTTTTTATAAAGACTTACTTTTCACTTTCATGAGTTAACTTCATACTTTAAACAGAAAAATTCTAGACAATATTATGTACGTTAGAGTGTGATGAGGAATTAAACTTTGATTTTGGAAGTTCAATGACTTTTTGTTTGTGTGTTTGTTTGAGACAGGGTCTTTGCTCTGTCACCCAGGCTGGAGTGCAGTGACGTGATCTCTGCCCAATGCAACCTCCACCTCCCGGGTTCAAGTGATTCTCGTCCCTCAGCTACCCAAGCAGCTGGAAATACAGGCATCAGCCACCATGCCCAGGTAAATTTTTTTGTATTTTTAGTAGAGACAAGGTTTTGCCATGTTGGTCAGGCTGGTCTTAAACTCCTCGCCTCACGTGATTGGAACGCATCAGCCTCCCAAAAGTGTTGGGATTATAGGCATCAGCCACCATGCCTGGCCAGTTCAATGACTCTTAACATAGAATCAGGTCTTGTTAAGCATCATGACAAGGGCTCTGTGATATATTATTAAAAAAATACTGTTTATCATATAATATACTTAATTATGTATACAATAATTAAAATGTTTACTTTTTATTTATTGACGGTTTTTTCAATAATGGATGTTTTATTCTGTGAGAGAAATTTATCAGGAAGTTGGAGTAACACAGAATGTGAAAGCTTTTTATGTTAAACAAAAAATATTTTTTAAAAAAAGAGTGCAAAAAAATAGTCAAACTTTAAGACTAGTTAGAATATCTAAATGATGAGTTTCTAAATCCTGATAACAGGGCAATGAAGAAATTCCAAAGAGAAAACTTCACTTTTCAGAGATATGAATTTGTTCATAGTTATTTATATGTACTTAAATGAATAACTCATATGTGAATAATTATATCCTAAATACTGAAAAATGAAAATAATTTAATATTGTGTTTTCTAACACATTAGAGAGGTAACATATTCAAATGTAAAAAAGAAAAAAACTACTAAGTTGTAACTAAGCTGCATGTTGATTTTAGATCAACGTAATTTTAAATGACGGAAAGATTCGTATTTGTATTGTGAGCTGGGAAGAATGTAAATAGTGGTAGAAAAAAAAGCATAAGTAAAATTGGAGAACATAACAATGAGAAAATAGAATTAGCAAGTGTCTTAATCCATTTGGACTGCTATAAAATAATACCATGGACTGGGTAGTTTATAAACAACAAAAATTTATTTCTCACAGATTTAGAAGTTGGAAAGTCCAAAGTCAAGGAGCTGGCCAATTCAATTTTTGGTGAGGACTCTGGTTCGTACACTGCACCTTCTCACTGTGTCCTTACGTGGAGGAAGGAGATGCTCTATAGTTACGTGGGATGTGTCTCGTAAGAGCACTTACCCTATTCATGAGGGCTCTGCCAAAGGCCTCACCTCCTGCTAACAGCACATACATGATTAGGCTTCAATATATGAATGCCAGGGAAAAATAAACAGCGAAACTAACAGCAAGTAATTCAAAATTGCAATGGGCAGCTGCCAAAAGTTGAGTTGATCTTTCTTCCTGAATAAGAGTTTTTACCAGGTAGTGCTAAAAAGGAACACTGGATTATATGTTGGGAACTTTAACTGATTTGCTAAGAAGTACGTGCATGAACTTATATTCACGTGAAATCAACAGAATGATTGTCAGTAAAAAAAGACATTTTAAAAGGTATTTTACAATGAAGTTAATGTAGAGTGGAATAGATTAGGATTAGAAGTAGGGAAGACAATTAAATGGTACAAAATTCCTCCAGATATGTGATAACATACTGGGCCAGGGTGAATGGGAACACAATATATAGACATTGGCTATATATTCAAGGAGTCAGATATATCAAACTATAAAACTTTACTAAAAACGTTCAAGATATACACGTGTTATACTTGCTCTGAACAGGGCTGGCATTCTTTGATTCTCAAAAGAAAGCTCTTGAAACACTAGAAAACATTAACTGCAATATCTTTATTTAAACAAAAAGAATGTGAAGAGAAGGCAATAAATTGGAATTTCATAGACGATATATGTGAGGTAGGAAAAACCCCAGAATATTATTTCTTTATCTTCAGTGGCTAAGCAATTAACTTTAATACTATATTTTTTGTAGCAATTCAGGGACTGAATATAAACAGTCACCCAAAACCATACTCATATTTGTAAATAATATGAGGAAGAAAACGTTATTCTAAATTTCAAATTATGGCTGCAGTTTTTCATGTACAATACCCTTCACATAGCAAAAAATGATCAGGCATGAATATAGTTTGGATATTCCACCCAAGTCTCAGGTTGATATGTAATCCCCAGTGTTGAAGTTGGGGCCTGATGAGAGATATTGGATCATGGAAGTGGATTTCTCATGAATGGCTTGGGCTATCCCCTTGGTGAAAAGTGAGCTCTCACTCTTGAGTTCACAGGCAATCTGGTTGTTTAAAAGTGTGCGGCACCTACCCCGCCCCCACTCCCCCCCACCCAGCACCCTAGTGCTTTCTCTCTCTTGCTTCTGCTTTTGCCATGTTACCTGCTTGCTTCCCCTTTGTCTTCTGCCATGATGGGAAGCTTCTCCATAAGTGGATGCCAGCACCATGTTTCTTATATATCCTGCAGAACTGTGAGCCAATTAAGCCTCTTTTAAAATAAATTACCCAGTCTTAAGGTAATTCTTTTTTTTTTTTTTTTCTTTTTTTGAGACAGAGTCTTGCTCTGTCGCCCAGGCTGGAGTGCAGTGGTGCCATCTCTGCTCACTGCAAGCTCCGCCTCCCAGGTTCACGTCATTCTTCTGCCTCAGCCTCCTGAGTAGCTGGGACTACAGGCGCCTGCCGCTACGCCTGGCTAATTTTTTGTATTTTTTTTTAGTAAAGACAGGGTTTCACCATGTTAGCCAGGATGGTCTCGATCTCCTGACCTCGTGATCCGTTCGCCTCAGCCTCCCAGAGTGCTGGGATTACAGGCAGGTACTTCTTTATAAGCAATGCAAGAATGGCCTAATGCTGCCATATAAATAAACAAAACAAAAAATGATGTAAAACCAAAGAAACAACAGAAAATACATAGACTCTGTCTAAGTCTGTTCTGTATTACTGTAACAGAATACCTGAAACTAGGTAATTTATAAATACAAGAGGCTTATTTAGCTCACATTTCTGGTGAATGGGAAGTTCATGGCCACGGCACTGGCTTATGGTGAAGACTTTCGTGCTGCTTAATAAAATGGCAGAATGTGAAAGGGTGAACTGTTACATGTGAAAAAGAACCAGACAGAAGGAGGAAGCTCAATATATAACAACTCACTCTCACAAGAGCGAATCCATTATCTTTAGAGCCAGTATTCACTCACACAGGAAGGCATAAATCTATTCAGGAGGGATCTGTCCCCAAGACTCAGAACTTTCCACTAGGCCCCACCTCTCGCAACACTGCCACACTGGGGATGTAACTTCAAAATTAGCTTTGGTGGGAGCAAATCACATCCAAACCATAGCAGACCTACAGAGGAAAATATAATGTAGTTATCAATCATGGACTTAAAATAACTTTCATTAATATGTTCAAGAAATAAAATGCAAGCTGCATTTTGGTAGAAGACTGAAAAGAGAGAGAGGAAAGAAGAAAGAAAAGTAGAAAGAAGAGAGAGAGGAAAGAAAGGAGCAAAGCCCAATGGAATTAAAAATTAAAGTTGGATAACTGAAATTGGTAACTTTGTGGATGTGTTTAAAGGCAGGTTAGCCACATTTGAAGATAAAATATTTTTATCTATCTACTGATTGATCGATCAACTAACTGATCTATCAATTGATCTATCTCCCCTATTGGTTCTATTTCCCTGGAGAACCCTGATTAATACACTCCACAGCATTCCATGGAAATGTTTCAGGTCTGCGCTTCTGCTGGGTATGGGTGAGTCTAGTTTTAGAGGGAATCCTCTCTTCCATGCATCTTCCTCCAATAACGCAACAGAAGTAAATAGCCTTGTCAGTACAAACACGTGCAGGCTGTGTGGTGCAATGGCAGTCTGAACTCCGAGTGTCAGCACTTTACTCGTTATGCAGGAAAGCTAGTGCCCAGGACCTGGAGACATTGGGATAGCTGGGGTTCTCGAATGTATGGCATGTTACAGTCCCCCTGTGTGGTGGAAAAAGTCATGAACTTCTTCAGAAGCTAAGCTTGGTTTTATTCTTCCTATTGGGAGAAGAGGGACTTAAGACTAACTCTTTGGCCTTGCAACTTATGGTAAGCTTCAAGCCTAATTCTCAATTTGTTCCAGGAATAAAACAATGTCTTCTATAGAATCAGCTCTTTAGCAGTATATTAAAAAATAACACTTGGCACATAGTAGGCACTCAATAAATATTTGTAGAATAAGTGAATGTATCATTTTGGGGGGGAAGAAAGGGAAAAGCTGACAAATTGTAAAAGTCTCACTACCAGTGTCACAATCCTACCCCATTATATTTTTTTTGAACTTCAATAAAGAAAAATTAAATACTATAATTAGTTGCCAATAGAAATACTGAAGTTTTATTCCTCCTATATCAGAAATCAGACAAAAATTATTTATTATTTACTTTTTCCCCAGTAGCAAAGATAGGATATATGGAGTTCTTAGGTTCCTGATTAAATTATGAAGGAGAAGAAATAAAAACAAAGAAACAAAAAGCACTGCTATGCGATTCCCGTATGTCTTTAAGTTTAATGCACAATATATTGCTCATTTCATTTATATATTTCTATCTCTACCCTAATAAAAAGGCATATCATTATAAGGTAACCAAAGTAATATAGCTTGAATTGTGTCCCCATCCAAATTTCATATTAAATTGTAATCTCCAATATTTGAGGTGGGACCTGGTGGGAGATGGCTTGATCATGGGGGTGGATTTCTCATGAATGGTTTAGCACCATCCACATGGTATTGTTCTCATGATAGTGAGTTCTCACAAGATCTGGTTGTTTAAAAGTGTATGGCATTTCTCCGCTTCTCACTTTTGCTCATGCTTTCACCATTTGACGTGCCTGCTCTCCCTTTGCCTTCTGCTATGACTGGAAGCTTCCTGATGCCTCCCCAGAAGCAGATGCCAGTACACTTTCTGCACAGCCCGCAGAAACATGAGCCAATTAGATCTCTTTTCTTATAAATTACCCAGTCTCAGGTATTTCGTTATAGCAATGTAAGGATGGCCTAATACAAAAAAGTGAATATAAAAGAAATTGTTTTCCTACTAAATTTTTTTCTCTCTAAAAGTAACGTTGAATTTTTTTCTCTCTAAAAGTAACATTGAATTTAAATCAATATCATAAGCCAGAGTGGAATAACATTTGTCTTATAATTGATGTGTGAAAATAGTAAGAAAACTAAAGTGCAAGAGCAAAAACATAGTTCTAATGACTTAAGCGTATTTATTGCCATCAAAACGTACTCCAGTATTTTTTTTATTTTTTGGCCTGCTTGTTAAGGATATGCCTTAAACCTTTATCTTGGAAAATTATTAAAAATTAAAAGAAGCAGTTACCACTGAAAATTAGAAAGTAACTTTCTAATTTTCCACTGAACTTTCTAATTTTCCACATTTACTTTCTAATTTTCACTGGAAAATTAGAAAGTATCTTAACAGACTAAGAATTAATATGACTAGACTAGGGTTGCCAGATAAAATTAAAAAACAAAGCAATTTTGAGTATCAGATCAACAGGTATTTTCTTGTTAGTGTAACTATGTCCCAGACATTGCGTGGCATATACTTATGTTGTTATCTCATTGCTCATCTTAAATTAAATTGAATTTGGCATCCTCTGTTGTTAATTGTTCACTCTGGCAATCCTGCACTGGGTGACATACAACAGAGCCTTCAAAGCCTGAGCTATAGTAATGTTACTAAAACAAAAGAAGCAAGTTTCTTCACTGCTTTTTTCTTTCTTCTTGGGAAACATTCACTGAAGCATATTATGTTGTGGCAGGTTCTGTTTACTGAAAACTTGTGATATTAGCCCTTGAGGGCAAAACTGTTACATTAAAATGGACATTTTTTACATAAATTTATCCAATCCCTTTTTATTTAAATTGATATCACAGAGTAAGAGATATTATAGAAGCAGATAAAAGTAAATAGGTTTTGGAAAATTATTATTGTCTGTTTTTATAGTTGTTCTTTTTAATTGTTTCTGGTTGGGAAGTGTTTTTTTAAATTAATGTTTTTATTTCATTTTAAAACAATGACAAGTAGGCAATAGCTCAGAATTTTTTCTTGTGTTTTTCACTGTCAGAATTAAATAATTATTTTCCTAAATTGACATTTATATTGTATAGCTCATTTTCCAAATGTGGCTGCTAGAATGGCAACATTTGAAGTTGAAGCTATCCAGAGAAATCTAGCATACATCCTCTGCTACCTGAAAATATTAAGGGCTTTGCTATAACCTAAATTTGATTTAATTGTCATCAAACTTTGTTATCCAAGAGTATTCTCTATTTCATTCTTATCAAGCTATGTGTAGTTATCAGCTAGTCCAAATGAACACTTGATATTAATTAACTCAAAATTTCTCTCTCTGTATATTTATTCTGTAGAACATTATATGCCAAGAGTTGGAAATCCCAGCAAATATGGCAGAAGAAAGACTTCACATTTTACTTCCTAAATATAAAATATGATCTTCCCCCTTAAATATTCTTCAGCACAATATGGCATTTGAAGAAATTTCCTTTTGGCACATATATACTCCATTAATCTTAAAGCACTTATAAAGATCCATAAAATTGACTAATACATTTTAGAAGGATTTTTCTTTTTTTTTGTGATTTAAATTTGCATTTGTTAAAGCAAAGATTAATTTATTGAGGAAATATGTAGAAAGCATCAGGATTCAAACTGTGCTTTAAAAATAAAATGAAAATCTTTTCTTGGTAGTTGGAATCATTTTTACCTAACTAAGCCAATAACACTTGGCTAGATGACAGTCTGAAAGAAGACGGATTAACTTCCAGTATTTAAAAGATTTTCAAGTCCTAATTGTCTTGGAACATAAATACAGTCATAAGACTTAAAATTGGTTTGACATGAAGGTTTCTTGAGTCAGCAAGTCAGGTCAGGCAACCCATATTATTTTTCTTTTTCAGGAAAGGCTAATTCTCTAAAATTTTTGAAATATGAAAAATTGAGTTCAACATAACTTATCTTTCATATTTTAGTGTTACATTTCATCAGTTACCTATTGGATGCCAGTCTCCATCTGGGGTGTTCTGAAATATCAATTTATTATTTAGAAAATCATATATTGAATGTCTAGCTATATATTGTTTACAGATGAAGTAACTGGTAACTGCAGACATTAAGTAATTCCCCCACTGTTAGGAAGTAGGAGAGTGAGTGATTAATTCTGTCATATAAAGACTATGAGCATTCCACCATGCCATGCTGTCCCTTATAAAAGCAATTTTTTTTTAATTTTTTTTTTTTTTTTTTTGGAGACAGAGTCTCGCTCCGTCACCCAGGCTGGAGTGCAGCGGTGCCATCTCGGCTCACTGCAACTTCCACCTCCAGGGTTCAAGCGATTCTCTGGCCTCAGCCTCCCCAGTAGCTGGGCTTAAAGGTGCCTGCCACCATGCATAGCTCATTTTTTGTATTTCAGTAGAGACGGGGTTTCATTTTGTTGTCCAGGCTGAGCTTAGGCTATCCGCCCACCTCGGCCTCCCAAAGTGCTAGGATTGCAGGTGTGAGCCACCGTGCCTGGCCTCAGATAAGCATTCTTATTTGTCCTTGATTCACCTAAATTTTCTAAATTCACTTCTAAATACCTATCATGATTCCATGTATAGATCTACAAATGAAAGAAAAACATGATTATTTGAAGTGATCTATATTAGAAATAGAAATATACAAAGAAGTCACTCTTCAAGCAGTAAACTATTTTCGTTACAAAGAGTAGTGATTTGTGTTCCAAGGTCTTTTGTTGTCAGTCCTGCTTCTGATCCTCCAAAATCACAGCATACACACATCTAATTTTGAAGTTCATTCTATGATTTGAATCTGAGAGATATAACGGTGTAGTTTAAACTGCTTCTTAAGAACACAATAAAACAATCTCTCCTCCCTTATAAAATAGATCTTCTCATAAGGGAGAATATACTCCATTTAAAAAAATTTTTAAATTGCAAGTAAATTTTTCTGATTATTATTTTTTTCTGAGGTGCTGTGTTAAGTGGTTGCCTTTTTTTTTTTTTTTTTTTTTAAATATGGAGTCTTGCTCTGTTGCCCAGGCTGGAGTGTATTGGCATGATATCGGCTCACTGCAAGCTCCACCTTTCCGGATTCATGCCATTCTCCTGCCTCAGCCTCCCAAGTAGCTGGGACTACAGGCACCCGAGTGGTGGTCATTTTATTTATGTAGAGAGCATGGAGTCTGTAGCTGTACAGATCTGCTATTGATTTCAGCTGTAGGTGTGTCCGGAATTTATTCCTTCTGGTGGGTTCTTGGTCTCGCTGACTTCCAGAATGAACCTGCGGACCCTCGCGGTGAGTGTTACAGCTCTTAAAAATGGTGTGTCCAGAATTTGTTTCTTCAGATGTTCAGATGTGTCTGGAGTTTCTTCCTTCTGGTGGGTTCGTGGTCTCGCTGACTTAAGGAGTGAAGCCACAGAACTTCACAGTGAGTGTTACAGGTCTTAGAGGTGGCGTGTCTGGAGTTGTTTGTTTCTCCCAGTGGGTTCATGGTCTCACTGACTTAAGGAGTGAAGCCACAGACCTTTGCAGTGAGTGCTACAGCGCTTAAAGGCAGTGCGTCTGGAGTTGTTTGTTCCTCCCAGTGGGTTCATGGTCTCGCTGACTTAGGGAGTGAAGCTGCAGACCTCTGCAGTGAGTGTTACAGCTCTTAAAGGCAGTGCATCCAGAGTTGTTTATTCCTTCTGGTGGGTTCATGGTCTCACTGACCTCAGGAATGAAGCAGCAGACCCTCGTGGTAAGTGTTACAGCTCATAAAGCTAGTGTGGACCCAAAGAGCGAGCAGCAGCAAGATTTATTGTGAAGAGTGAAAGAACAAAGCTTCCACAGAGTGGAAGAGGACCCTAGTGGTTTGCCGCTGTTGGCTCAGGTGGCTAGCTTTTATTCCCTTATTTGGCCCTGCCCACATCCTGCTGATTGGTCCATTTTACAGAGCGCTGATTAGTCCATTTTACAGACTGCTGATTGGTCCATTTTACAGAGTGCTGATTGGTGCGTTTACAATCTTTAGCTAGACACAGAGTGCTGATTGGTGCATTTTTACAGGGTGCTGACTGGTGACAGAGAAAGTGCTTAGTTAATAGTATTCATTCACAAGATATATTGCAAATCACAACGCACAGTATAGATAAAAACAACTTACATTATACAAGAATGCTGATATAAATGTGTTAACCCCACAGAGACATTAATTTATTGTCAGACCATGTGCCAATATTTTGTTTGGAAATACAGAGAAGTAGGGAAGAGAGGTGAATGTAGATAAGAGGGCATTATGAAAACGCTATGGTGTTAGGAACTAATTAATCTGTATCTTGACTATACCATCATCAATATCGTGGTTATGATACTGCATTAGAGATTTATATTATGTGCAGGTGGTCTCTGCATGATCTTATAATAGAAAATATATCTACAATTATCTCAAGGTAAAACAAGTTTAATTAAAAATATGTGAATCATGTGCATGTGAGGCAACTTAGATATTTACGAATGTGTCTTACTCCAGTGATGACCAACAGGAGCAGAACAACTTAAATCAGGCAAGAAAATACCTTCTTTGAGGAGTGGCTGATGCTGCTACTCTTGCTGTGTAGGGGATTTTAGATAGAAAAATTAGAAGAGAGCTTTTAATAGTAGTGGTCATTGCATGGGAAATTGATTAAATCTCTTACTGATAATGTCTCTCTTCCAAACCACAGGTTTTAAATATGTCATTAAAGGGAAAGACAATGCTATTCATTCTATGATCTAATGGTGTTAATTAGCCAGTTCCACACTCCTATAAAGAACTGCCCAAGACTGGGTAATTATAAAGAAAAGAGGTTTAATTGACTCACAGTTCTGCATGGCTGAGGAGGACCCAGAAAATTTACAATCATGGTACCTCTTTACAGGGAAGCAGAAGGAGGAATGAGAACCAAGCAGTGGGGGAAGCCACTTATAAAACCATCAGATCTCATGAGAACTCAGTCACTATCATGAGAACAGCACAAGAAAAACCCACCCCCATGATTCAATTACCTCTCACCAGGTTCCCTCCTTGGCACTTGGGGAATATAGGGGCCACAATTCAAGATGAGATTTGGGTGGGGACACAGCCAAACCATACCATTCTGCCCCTGCTCCTTCCCAAATCTCATGTCTTCATAATTCAATACACAATCATACCCTTCCAACAGTCCCTCAAATTCTTGACTCATTCCAACATTAACTTGAAAGTCCAAATCCAAAGTCTCATCTGAGACAAGGCAAGTCCCTTCCACCGAGGAGCCTGTAAAATCAATAGAAAGTTAGTTATTTCCTAGACACAATGGAGGTACAGGCATGGGTAACTACAGCCATTCCAAATGGGAGAAATTGGCCAAAACAAAGAGGCCACAGGCCCCAGGCAAGTCCGAAATCCAATAAGGCAGTCATTAAAACTTAAAGTTCCAAAATGAACTCCTTTGACTCCGTATCTCACATCCAGGTCAAACTGATTCAAGAGATGGTCTCCCATGGCCTTGGGCAGCTCTGCCTCAGTGGTTATACAGGGTGCAGCCCCCCTCCTGGCTGCTTTCATGGGCTGGCATTGAGGGCCTGTGGCTTTTCTAGGCACATGGTGCAAGCTGTCAGTGGATCTACCATTCTGTGGTCTGGAGGATGGAGGTCCTCTTCTCACAGATTCCCACTAGCCAGTGTCCCAGTGGGGGCTCTGTGTGGGGGCTCTGACCAGCCCCAAAATTCTCTTCTGCCCTGCCCTAGTGGAGATTCTCCATGAGGGCTCCACTCCTACTGCAAACTTCTGCCTGTATATCCAGGAATTTCCATACGTCCTCTGAAATCTAGGTGGAGGTTCTCAAACCTCAATTCTTTACTTCTGTGCACTTACTGGCCGAACACCATATGTAAGCTGTCAAGGTTTGGGGCTTGCACCCTCTGAAGCAACAGCCTGAGCTGTTGGCCCCTTTTAGCCATGGCTGGGACACAGGGCACTATGTCCCCAGGAGAGGACAGAGGAGTGAGGCCCTGGGCCTGGCAAACAAAACCATTTTTCTCTCCTAGGCCTCTGGGCCTGTGATAGGAGGGGCTACTGTGAAGACCTCTGACATAGCCTGGAGACATTGTCCCCATTTTCTCAGTGATTAACATTTGACTCCTCATTATTTAGGCAAATTTCTACAGCCTTCTTGAATTTCTTCTGAGAAAATGGGTTTTTTCTTTTCTATCACACTGTCAGGCTGCAAAACTTCCAAACTTTTATGCTCTGCTTTCTCTTCCACTTTGCTACTTAGAAATTTCTTCTACCAGATACCCTAAATCATCTCTCTCAAATTTGAAGTTTCAAAGATCTCTAGGGCAGGGTCAAAATGCCACCAGTCTCTATGCTAAAGCATAGCAAGAGTCACTTTTGCTCCAGTACTCAAGAAGTTTCTCATCTCCATCTGAGGCCACCTCAGCCTAGACTTCTTTGTCCATGTCACTGTCACCATTTTGGTCAAACCATTCAATAAGTCTCCAGGAAGTTCCAAACTTTCCCACATCTTCTGAGCCCTGCAACTCTCTAGGAAATTCCAAACTTTTCCAATTTTTTTTTGTCCTTTTCTGATCCCTCCAAACTGTTCCGACCTTGACCTATTACCTAGTTTCAAAGTTGTTTCCACATTTTCATGTATCTTTAGAGTATCACCCCACGTTGTGTGGTACCAATTCACTGTATTAGTCCCTTCTCACACTGCTGTAAAGAACTGCCCAAGACTGTGTAATGTATAAAGAAAAGAGGTTTATTTGACTCACAGTTCCACATGGCTAGGGAGGCCTCAGGAAACCTACAATCATAGTGGAAGGCACCTCTTCACAGTGCAGCAGGAGAGAGAAGGAGAGCTGAGTGAAGGGGAAAGCCCCTTATAAAACTATCAAATCTTCTGAGAACTCACTATTATGAGAACAGCACAGGAAACACCCGACTCCATGATTCAATTACCTCCCACCAGCTTCCTCCCACAACACATGGGGAATATGGGGGCTACAATTCAAGATAAGATTTGGGTGGGGACACAGCCAAACCATATCAAATGTTCATATATAAAAAGTTAAGTATTAATAAATTAGGAAATATTCTCAGTGTAACTGCCCAATAGGTTCTTCTTGCCTGCTGCCCAGATAGATCTGATGTATCGAAACAGGGAAATTGCAATACAGAAAGAGTTTAATTCATGCAGAGCCAGCTAAATGGAAGACCAGAGTGTTATTATTACTCAAATCAGCCTGAGAATTTGGGGGCTAGAGTTTTTCAAAGACAGTTTGAGGGAAGTGGTGGAGCTTGCTAGGCAATGGGTGCTTGCTGCTGATTGGTTGGGGTTGCAATCATAGGGATGTGGAAATGGTTCTCATGCTGCTGAACTTTTTCTTGATTAGGCAAGAGGAGAAGTTGGTGGGTCTACATGGAACCATTGGTGAGTGGGTCAGGTGGAGCCACTGGTTATCAGACATGCAAAAACCCTGAAAATATATCTTAAAAGGCCACTCTTAGGTTCTATAATAGTGATGTTATCTGCAGGAGTAATTGAGGAAGTTGCATATCTGGTGACCTCTGGAATGATCACTGTCAATCCTTTACATCTACACCTTAGCAGAATTCAGGCTCCTTTCATTCTCCTACACTGGTGGCCTTTCATTAAATTTACAAAGGTGGTCGAATATTAGGGAAGGGCTATCATCATTTAAACTATAAACTAAATGTCTCTCAAAGTTCGCTTGGCCCAATCCCAGCAATAATTAAGGACAGCTTGAAGGCTAAAGGCAAGATGAGGGCTGGCTAGATCAGATCTCCCTGACTGCCTTAGTTTTTGCATGGTTTTAATTTATGCAAAGGCAGTTTCATAATCACAGAATGGATGCTTAAAAATAATTGGGCTTCATATTTATTAAAATGGAATGAAACATATGCTTAAATGTGTATAAATACACACACACACACTCCCAAGTGTGTGGACAGAGAAGAAGAAATTCTTGTAATTGAAAACATTGAGGAAAGAGGACATAGACATTTTGAAAAGAACCAACGTTTAATAAGGAAGAACTTAGCACATAAAACAAGATTGGTAGTCAGACAACAAACATTCATAGGGTGCTAGGTAGGTCCCCTGGAGTTTTCGAAAAGGGGGATATTCATGGAAAACAAACAATTTTAAGAAGAGCCATTGTGTTATTTTTGTTGCTGTTTGTTTAAGATCATCTATGCAAGAATACTTGGAGGTTGATAAGAGAGAACTCATGGATACAGTCTAGGGGATGTATTATACAGTTGGCAAGACATGATGGTAGCTTTAATAAGAAGGGTGGAAAGGATAGAAGACTGACAGATTTGAATTAGAAAGTATTGAATATGGGGTGGGGGGAAAATATAGCCAGATGTATGGCTAACAAGGCAGGTAGATTTATCATTTATTAATATAGAAAAATTGGAGAAAAGTCAAATATGGAAGATGGGGTGGTTTGGAAATAGGTTTAAATTAGTTAGATTTATAACTAATATAAATGTGGTAAATGTTAAAATAATAAATTTAAAGTTGCCAGTCAAATACCTGAATTTAATTATAAGGAAGAAAGTTGGATATAGAAGTTTAGAAGTCAGAGATAAGGACTGGGCTTGACTTATGCATTTGAGTGGCACACACAAGTAAAATATGTATAAAGCCATTGAAGTTGATGAGATCATTAGGAAGATGGTGGAGAGTCAGTATAGAAGAGGGTCCATAACTGATACATAGGGAGCTCCCATGTCTAGAAGTCAGGCCAAAGAGAAAGAACTGCAAAACAGAAGGAGCAGCCAAATTTATAGGAAGAAAACCAGGGGAGTGTGGTGTCATGAAACTACTTATGCTCCTTACTGGTAAAGTAGGGTGAATGAAACATGTTCATCAGTTACTTTAGCAAGAGTAGTTTTGGTGGAACATAAGGTACAAGCCAGAAGAGAGTATGATAAAGAATAATTAAAAAAAGGCCACCAGGCACCCAGAACTGGAATGTATTTTTTCTTCCATCACTGTGACCTGCTGTAGACATCTAGGAACACTTCCATCCTTGTTACAAACACCATGCCTCAAATTTACTATTCATGCAAAGTAATCAATTCTTCAGAACATGACAAATGTGCCCTCATTCCCTGTTTAGATGCAATCTTTTGCTGTAGGCTATAAATGGTAAGAAAAAGATAAAATATAGATTTGATAGGAAGAAACAAAAAAGGTTCACTGTTTGCAGAAGGTATAATTGTTTACTCAACAAAGAGAATATATGGAAAAATTATTTCTTAAATTAAGAAGTTTAAAATACTCTGCAGCTTTAGTCAAAGAAAGAAATGAAAAACCAAGTAAGACTTAAAGGGTTGTGTGAACTGGAGTGATTTATAAACACATTAAGTAAAACAAAACAAATAATAAGTTTGTAAAAGAGTATCAATAATATGCTACCATTCAAGTGAGCAAAAACGAAGTGTAAGTAAACATACATTTATCTGTATTTTGTGTAAAAGGAAACTTACGGATGATAACGAACCGGTGAGATGGGTTACATGGGAAGAGAGGGTAGGAATAGAGTCGAACTGGGAGGAGATAGGAAGTAGAGAGGATTGATTATTTTAACTATTAAAAAACACATTTTAAAAATAATTTTGACTTTAGGAACATGGAAGTTTTGCTACAAACACAAACACCCACATAGCAAAGATAATAAACTACTAAAAATAGAATACAAAAAAAGCAAATATATGTAAGTAAAATTATAATCAATAAAGTGGCCATATTTAATTAGTGAGAAATATTCTTGAACATAATATTTGGACTTCATATTATCATGCTGAAGAAAAAGAACTATACACAAATGTGAACTGTGGCTAGTGAGTTCATTTTCCAAGATTTTATGGGTTGGCAATTCAGAATGAATATTATTTGTGTGTTATAAGATTAATAAAACAAGTACATTGCAGAAAAGAGATAGGTTTAGCACAGGTGGAAAATGTGGTTACTATAGAGAAAAGGGAAATGTTAGAATGAACCTTAAAATATTGGTCTGGAATTACAGATCTAATTATCAACTCATGTTTTTGTTCAAGAAGGGATAAATAGAAGAGAGAAAGAGAATGAGAGAGAATACACACACCAGCACACATACACACACATCTCTATAATAGTAGGGTACAACTCTGACTGCTGATTGCCTGGAATCCAAGATATTTCAGTAGCAATGAGTAAGCATAGAGCATTCAGACTGTAATTTCAAAATGTCATTCTTCATTTAAAGGAATCAAAGATTATTGGATAAACAACTAATTCCAGGGCGGGGACAAGGGCATTACAAGTTGACCTGGAAAATGATATTGCAACAGAAAATAAGAAAATGGGCATATAATAATGTCATCAGGTCAGGAGGAAACACACCTAGACAAATATGAAATAATCAGATTATCAACTAAAAAAATAAAATAAATTATAATCCTTGGGATACTCCACTAATTCACAGGGCCATACAGATATAAATAAATAATTGAATACAACATATCAGAGAAAAACTGGATTTTTGTTATAGTAGAATCTCAATTAAACAGGTAGAAGGAATGATAGCTTTAGAATATCATTATTTGGCAATCAACATAATTTTTTAGGCAATTATTATGAAGGGATGCTGAAACTAAGTGAAGGGTATATAGAAATTCTTCACACTATTTTTGCCACTTTTCTTAAAACTAAATAATTTTAAAATAAAATATTAAAACATATTTAGCAAGAGTTTTGTACATATAATTACTATATGCCAGTCAATTTGCATTTCTATTTAACATCAACTTAATTTAAAAAATATAATTTACAATGTAACAAATAATGTGCTACTATAAATCTAGGAACAGCTCTATAGTGGAAACATAACTGAAATGAGTGACTAAGGCAAAAGATTCAGGTTTATTAAACCAGCTTTAGTGCACCTCTGGGGAAAAACAAGAACCTCAGGTGCATTTGTGGTAGGTTTTTCCAAAGAGGTTTTCAGGAGGTTTAGTATTTATATATTTTCTTAAAGGTGAAGAAGGTATGTAGGAAGAGGGGCAAGTACGTGGTAAGGCAAATGGTTACATTCTTGTGAGACTTTAGTTAGTGCCCAGTTAGTCTACTTTTACACAGAGTGAATATTTAAAGAGAAAAGAGAGTAAAGGAAGAGTAAACTATGAAATATTAGTGGAGAATATAATGAAGAAATTATTATTATAAAATGTCTATTTTTCAGAAAGTAATATATAGACTCAAGTGATTTTCAGAAAATAAAAATAGAGTATTCTGGAGGATGCTTCATCAATTGGTTCACAAATTTACCTGGAATTAGAAAGGCCTAAGTAAAGCAAAGACATTCAGGAAAAACATGAAAAGGTTTCTTAACTAGAAATACATATTTTGACATAACGGAATCAACCTAGATGCCCATCAACAGTGGATTGGATAAAGAAAATGTGGTACACATACGCCTTGGACTACTACACAGCAGCAATGTGGATGGATCTGGAGGCCATTATCCTAAGCAGGAACAGAAAACCAAATACCACATGTTCTCACTTACAGGTGAGAACGAAAAATTGAGTACACATGGACATAAATATGGGAACAATAGACATTGGGGACTTCTAGAGGGGAGAGGGAGAAAGGTAGGCATGGGCTGAAAAACTATTGGGTACTCTGATTGCTACTCTGGTGACAAGGTAATGGGCACCCCAAACCTCAGTATCATGCAATAGACCTATGTAACAAACCTGCACATGTACCCTCTGAATCCAAAATAAAAATTTTTTAAATTGTATTTCCTTGAAAAAAAATAATATGGTAACCACCTGATGGGTTCATCTTGCCTGCTGCTCAGATAGAGCTGATTTATCCAGACAGGAGAATTGTAATAGTGAAAGTTTAATACATGTATAGCCAGTTCAATGGAAAACCAGACTTTTATTATTACTCAAATAAGCCTCCCACAAAATTTGGAGGCTAGGGTTCTTTATTTTGTTTTGTTTTGTTTTTGGAGATGGAGTTTCACTCTTGTTGCCCAGGCTGGAGCGCAGTGGCACAATCTTGACTCCCTGCAATCTCCGCCTTCTGGTTTCAAGCGATCCTTCTGTCTCAGCTTCCCAAGTAGCTGGGATTACAGGTGCGTGCCACCACGCCTGGCTAATTTTTGTATTCTTAGTAGAGAAAGAGTTTCACCATGTTAGCCAGGCTGGTCTCAAACTCCTGACCTCTTGATCTGCCTGCCTTGACCTTCCAAAGTGCTGGGATTACAGGCATGAGCCACCATGCCTGGCCCGAGGTTGGGGTTTTCTAAAGATAGTTTGGTGGGCAGGAGACTAGGGAACAAGTGCTGCTGATTAGTTGAGGATTAAATCACAGGGGTATGGAAAATGGTTCTCCTGCTCTGAGTCCACTTTTGAGTGGGGGTTGTGTCATGAGTTGCATGTCAGAGTGGAGTCATCAGGTCATCAGAAATAGAAAAGTCTGAAAAGACAACTCAAAAGGCCAATCTTTGGTTCTGCAATCAGCATATTATTTACAGGAATCACTGGGGAAGTTACAAATCTTGTAACCTCCAGAGCAATAGCTGGTTGTTGTTTAACTATGCCTACATCTTAGCAAAACTTTTTCATAATATTAACTTCAGGGTCTTTCATTTTTTACAAAGGGTCTTTAGTTTTACAAAGGCAATTTAGTCTGTGGAAGTTCTGTTTTCATCCTTAAGATTGAACTAAAATCAAATTTTTCCCAAAGATAGCTTTGCCCACCCCCAGGAGTGACCAAGGGCAGTTTGGAGTTCAAAGGCAAGATGTCATAATTTTCCCACTGTCATGATTGCTGCAAAGGTGATTTCAGTATGAGAGAAGACAAGTATATAGGTTGAGCTCTGGATATAATAAAAGGAAAACATATTTAGTAATTGATGGTTTAAATTCATTAATAAATCATGAAAAAAGGATCTTCAGCTTAGATATGGTATAAGCTCAGGGAACAAGAAGAGGAAATGTGAGTGTTAGAAGAGTATGAAATAGTCTTTAAGGTGATGGAAAGCTCATACCACAGGAGCAATGACATACAGTTTCCAGGCAGTGCTTTCTGCTCGTATTGAAGTCAATAAATAAAAGTTTATTTTTATTTAAAAATACCTATTTTATCCAGCAAAACTTACTTGCAAACACAGATTCAACTGAGTTCATCTAGGGCGAGTCTAGGTGATTACAGGAGAGTATAAGAGAGATAAAGTGGATTTTATAGTGATACTACGTTATTACAGTGGAGGGTGAGTATATTCACCAAAAATATAAAGTGATTATCTCAGATAATCTAAGTGAATAAAAAGGAACCCAGAATATGTCTAAAGAATATTAAAGTATTGGAAAGTTTCATGTATTTTAAATCTTGTAGTAGTTGAAGAACTACTGTTTTAAGATAGCTTAATCAAAGAGCCATAAGGTTAAGAACTGGTAGTCAGAAAATTGGATGTTAAATTTTATGCTTTGACATCAGAGATAACATGAACTCTGATTATAACTACTGCCAGAACATTACCTGCATGTGAGTGGTTAAAATAAAGTACAATAGATCAGTTAAGCAGATTAAGGAGAGGCTAGGTACCTCTTTTGATGTAAATTCATGTAAATGAATGCATACAAAATATGTAAGATTTTTGGTCATCTGTGATTTAAATGATGCACGCCTCTCCCAATGTAATATGTCATTATCTGAGTGAGTCATCTAATTTGGGTGTGTCAAAATTTTCCTTTACATTAATAAGTAGAATTGGGGGAAAATTGTATTTTTTCCTATAGTCCCTAAGTTGACAGAAGAGTGCAGCCAGTGGCAGTCATCATCCCATCTCTATGAGAAAATTCTGTCTATAGAAATTATAGGAAATCGCAAGTAGATATGAGCAATGGACAGATGGGCTGAGAGATTTAGTATGATTAATCCCCACTTTTTCCTAGAACTCAGTCTTTGGTTCAGAAATTTATCCCAATGTAATTGAAATTCCCAAACAATTCTGCCAGGAATGTAGGTTGTTGCTGTTTTTTTTTTTCTTCTTTTTTTCCCCCAACCTTGTTTCAGTTGCTCAGTTGTATTTCTTTTACTTGCTTCTGAAACACCTCTAATGGAATTATAAAAAGACTATAGCAGATAAACTCTGTTTCTCTTCTCAAAACAACTCAGTCTACTTTATTCTTCTCTGCCCTGAAAGGCAGATCACTATAGACTGCATTAAACCTTTGTTTACATTAGTTGTTGGAATCAATCAATTGAAGGGGAGATAATACCCCCACCCCATTCATCTTCAGAAAAAGATAGTTTACATCAGGTAATCTTCTGGCTCGACCTCTTTAGCTTTTCCATGTCTGGTACCAACAGACCTCTTACCCCTTCAGGCCTAGAGATGGTAATGGTGTTTTTAAATTTTGCTACACCGGCTGGTTTCCCTTAATTTTGTCCACACTTTTGTAAATACTCTCATTATAAAAATGTCTCCAATTACATCTTTAGTATGCATTATCTTTTTTTGTTCTTAATTTCTGAAGAGGTACACATATGTATATGTATGTAGGTAGATATACAACAAGAAAAAAGAGTGTAGAATAATTTATGTATTAAAATATTCTGAAATATATTTGAGTTAAAAATATTATGCTCAGTTCGAAAGCTCTTTTCATTTTTCATAGCAACTGACTTTGACATTTTTATGGGCCAATTTCATACTGAACTCATCCGAATCCTAAAAATAAAGTGATTTGTTATTGCAAACTGTGGTAAGTCTACTTGAAACAACATTGCTGAAGAACTGAAGAATAGAGCTATAAATTCTTAGATGTATAAATTCAGAATAGCATTCCCAAGTTTTATTTGAACTTTTTAAATATAATATTGGAGAAAGAAAAAAAAAGAGCTGAAAATGTTTACTACTTCCTCACTAATGAGTATAATCATCAAAGAAATCATCCCACCTTTCCTCACAAACTTTGTGCACTTTTTGTTTGAAAACAACTTATTTAGAAACATAAGGACTATTAGAAGTCATACACGCATCCATTCTACACATTGTATTTAAGATATATTCATTTATTTTAACCACTTTTATTTCCTGTTAGCACTGAAGTCTTATTCTATGAACTTATTCTACTAGTTTTATGCTTGTTAAGTGGCAAGGAAATGAATTCACTCATATCCATTTGAATCAACGAGACTGTTTCTATACCATTGTGCAGTAATACTTGTTTTTATCCCCCTAAGAATGACCTTCAAGCAATTATATACCACTATATACTAATTATAACAGTAAAAACTATTACTATCACATCAATAGCTTCTAGTAAACAATAAGGGAACCCGTTTATTTATTCCTGTCAATAATATATTTAATATAATATGCCTTTTCTGCACTTAAAAAAGTTATTTTTCCATGGCAATAAATAGGGTACATTCTAATATTCTAAACATTGCAAGGGCCATTTTGGTGAGAAAACACACACACACACGCACGCACGCATACATCTATGTATAATATATATATATATATATATGTATCTCCCCAATTACAGGCTCAATTTACAATACGTATTTCAAAGTATCCTGTCAAGAATAAAATAGACATTATTTCCTGCTTAGCATTCTGATGCATCTAATAATGGATGAAATAAATACAGTCACGTAATGCACACAATTATTTCACCAAGCTAACTGTATAATTTTCCTAAAATTAAGAAATATTTTACCAAATGATATAAAATTGTAAATATTTCCTTTCAAGCATTCCTTTTAAATAGGTTCCTTGCTATTCATATAAGTGATATCCTGAGGAGAGTCATTTCACTAAAACACACTTTAGTAGGTGGCAATGTCTGAAATAATGCTAGAGGGTCTTTCACTAAATACTCTAGGATGACTTGCTAAGATTTCCATTATGGTTAAAACTGACAATCTGCTATAACGATTGGACACCAAACTTACTCATCTTCTGATTGCATTTGACAAACTGATATTTTGATTCATAGTACAGTTTCTTAATGGCATGAAAATTAGTTAATGTGGCAAATGGTGATTCCCTTGAATCCAATTATATCATATAAAGTTGAGTCTAGGCTGGTTTTGGATAGCAGGATTGTGCTTAATAAAGTGAACTAATGTAGCCATTTACTAAATAATACACTCATAAAATAAAGGACATGGCATTTGACCACTAAAACCATCAATACACTTTGTTTAAGAAGTTGTAAAATGTAATGCTATTATAAAAGCCATTATATCAGGCCTAAGGATAGTCAGGGACAGTAGAACTAAAATTAACATTGAAATGAATAATTCAGGAAGATTATGAGATCCTCTTCGAAATGGATAATCATGGCAGAGACTCCCTGTTGCCCACTCTATTATGTGTTCTTCCTTTCTTTGAAATAATATCACTGATTTCTAGCTGGATGCTTGATTCTCTAAACTAACATATATTTTCCAGCAACTGATAATTAAATTCTAGAATATAAGAAAAAAGATATGTGTTCTAGCTACTGGAAATGTAACTAAGGTGACTATTTCTTTCCACTTTAAAAAATATGGTTTTTTTTCTAGCTAAGTGGATTATAGATATTATGGTTGGAGCTTAAGTAGGAATTTAAATAATAAAGGAGAAGTCATGAATTGTGGATTTTGGAACAAGAGGAGGACACCTCTGTGAGTGTGAGTGTGTGTCTGTGTGTGTGTGTGTGTGTGTGTATGAAACAATAAAGTTAGAAAGAATTAGAATATTAGAATATTCCATGTTTAGTTTTTGCTTATTTAGTAAAATCTTGTTAAAAGATCTTGACAAGAATACAGTAAGTTTTTGTGGATGTTGTTATTGGAAATGGTATAAACTACTTTCCAAGTACTAATATTAATGAATATAGTAGCAGTTAGATGCCCAGATCTCTATGCTAGACAGAAAGAGTTATTTTCCAGTTACCAGGGAAAGTTTAAAAGAACTACTTCTTCTCTTAGAAACTTGGGAAATTAGACCAAGTAAACTATTGAAAAAATCTGCAGGATAGGTGGTAATATATTCTTTTCTTTTGTGAGAATAAATTCTCTATTCTGGAAGTTGAATCTTGACTATCTTTTTTAAAAAGTAGAAAATAAAATAGTATAGGAAAATTATTTATTTTCTATTTTATTAGGAGGGTCTAATAGTTTATAGTTAAAAAATAATTCCATAGATATGAGAAAAATAAAAATAATATAAGATTCAAAAAAACTGAATATGTGAAAATATGTAGAAGAAATCGCACAGTTTTAGTGTGACTAAAGCAAGCTAAATTTATGGAAGTTAATCATAGATATTCCTTCAAAAACATTTCTCTATTACCATGATTCATTTGTTTCTGAATTTCAAATGAGTAGCAAACATTACTAATATGAAAAATCAATATTATCTTTCTGTGATTAATAGAGGTATCTCAAAAGTACATGCTCCATTGAGCACTTTACTGTATGTATATAGATGGTTTAATAGATATCTACAGAGAAAAAAAGAGACAGATGAGAGTACATGTGAATAACATAAAAAAAGAATTAGGTCAGAAATTTCAGCTATTAAATTGGATAGGGTAGCTTAGCTTATGACATACCAAAAATCACATTTTTACAAAGAGTTGGATGAAAGCTAGAAATGACATGTTTGAAGCCAGTAAAAAGTTGTTGAGGTAATGAGAACTGGAATTTTTTCACAGCTTTATGAAGAGATAAAAATTAGAATTACAGGAATGAAATGGAGATTGACCTGATATTTCCAGGTTTTCAATCCAGCCCTGACTCAGCACAATTGCTGATTAGCACATCTTTCTTGAATATCACAAAAATATTATTAGGCATACAGAAGGAAGAACTACAGAAACAAAATCAAGAAAAAAATGGACAATATAGACTTATATTGGACCTATAATGGACAATATAGACTTATAATTGACAGAATTTTTGAAATTGGCTAAAAAAAATTTTAAAGGAACTTTTTAAAATGTTCAGTATAATGTAAGAAATATGGATACAATAAATAAAAATATAGATTTCATAGAGAAATTGAAATATTTTAGGTGAAACAGGCAAAGGATAAGTCAATAACTTTTAAATGAAGTTCAGATTAAAAAAAAACACACACTTTCTATATGAAATAAGATGTCAGCTAAAGTTGGGAGAGGGAGGTAACAAGTGAAGGTGTTGATGGGAGTAACGATGGAATGACTAATAAAATCCAAGCTTTTCTAGGCATTTAAAAGAAGTATAATGTTGAGGTCCAGATGAAATACAGCCCCAAATGAACATGGAGGCTATTTTCCACCAATGAGAGGGTCAGAAGAATGCCAACTTCTAGTAGGAGGATGCTTTCTTTTATATTACAAAAGCTGGGAAAGATCGATTCTAGATCCTAAAAATAAGTAATTTTAACAATAATTTTAAAATGCTATTTAGGATAAACATGTGCATAGGCAGTTAGAGTGACATTTTAGAGCCAAAATAATTTACCCTACCAAATTTTAGCAGTTTCTTTATTTTTCTTCCCCCCATTTCTTTTTTTTTTCTTGAGTTACTAAGTTTTAAGATCACAGTAATGCCACAGAAATAATTGTTTGCTTTCTACAAAATATTTCATAAAATAACTGCCATTTTGAAATGTGAATTAGATGGTAAGACTGCAATGTGTATTGACAGGTAAAAAATAATTTTGATTGTCTGGGTCAATCTTAACTTCTTCCTTAGCCTTTCACTGTTAGGAATCATATTGTTTGAAATTAATGATTAAAGAAAAATACACATATTAAATTTGAAGAAGATGTAAATGGAACAGAGTAAGTATGAGAGATAAAATAATACTTGTTAATTGAAAATATTACCAATAGGCTGGAATCAATGTCTGAAATAAAAACAGTAACATTCAACGATAATAAATGTAAAATGGCATTTCTAAGTTAAAATATTCAATTCAGCAGAAGCAGGTTAATGGAAATGTAGCTTCTATTATATTGGATAAAGACATACTCTTTTGGGTTGACTAAAGCACCATTATAAATCCAGGATAGGAATAAATAATGTATAAGCTAAACATAATTTTAAATTTAGAATAATAAAATAGTGGGAAGTAATATTTCGGTTAATTTGGGCATTGCATGTAAGATGGCTAATGGCTAATTAGAAGACATTCAGGGGTATTTGACCTGAAAACTAAATTCAGAGAAACCATAATAGGAAGAAATGTCAAAAGAACTGATGATCAAAATGGAAGTGTTGCCAATTAAAAAAAATATACTTTGCCAAAACTTACTTAAAAATGTAGTGAGCTATATATATTTCCCTCAATTAATAGAAATAATTATTAAAATGTTTTCCATATTTTGATTTTTTAGTATCAAGAGATCTAGCTATTGAATAAGAAGTTGATATATGGCCATCACAATTTTAAAAGCTTATGAATATCAATGCAAAAGTAAACATCTCTTGTTAGATCATTTTATTGTATGGAATTATTTAAACATGTCACTAGTAGAAGTTAAATTAGAAGTCTGTGTCAGTTTCAGTCTGTTTTTTCTTTATTTCTTATTAGACTCAAGAGGTTTAAGAAAACTTTTTAGTTGACTCTGGCTGAGAACTAATTCTGTAATAAAATGTGTGCCTATTAAATTCAATATCTGTGCTTTAGGAGATATTAGAACTTTGAACTAAATTATTCTCTTTCCATTTTCATGTCTGCTATTGAATTCATCATAGCAATTTATGTCAAACTTTCTTTTCAAAATTTTAATAGGCCTCATAAGCTGTGCCCACTTGACCCAGCTGTTGATTAGACTCTCTGTTGTACTGTTCTTTCTCCAGAATTAGAATTTCTGTGTTAAAATACATTTAATAATAACTGATATTCCCAGTGTTGTAATTGGGGAAAGTTAGTCTCAGGGATATGAATTATCTTGCAGTGAATCACGTGGCTAATTGATAATACAGTTGATGTTATAAATCAAAACAAGAATCAGATTTGGTTTGGTCCCATTTTACTCTGCTTCCTTTATTTTATATATGTAAGCATTCCTTTCCAAGCAACTTCGAAGCTGTCCAGAAGTAGAAATAATGCTTAACAAAGTGCTGAGCCCACAGTGGGTATTTATTACACATGGATTTGTTGACTCTGGGTTACGATTTAGCTTTCTTTAAAAATTAAGCAAAGAAGATAGCTAGTTCAGCTCTACAGAAAAATATTTTATGTTACCTTAAAAATAAAACTCCTAGAGTCTCTAGTATATTTTATTACAATATGTCACTAGATCTAAGAGAACATATTTTCTCCTTAATGTAAAGGTTTAAATTTATTGATTGATTTTTCTTGAGACAGATAACTTTGAATTTCATTTTGAATAGTTTCTTGTAGAAGAAAACTATAATTGCATGCAAAATACGTCTTGAACTATTTCTAAGATATCATAAACTGGGTGGCTTATAAACAACAAACATTTATTTCTCACATTCTAGAGTCTGGGAAATGCACAATTATGGTGAGAGTAGATTCAATGAAGGCATGCTACTCACAGACAGTGTCTGCTAACTGTTTTTTCACTTGGTGGAAGGGGCAAACAGTCTTTCCCTTGGACTTCTTTTATAAGGGCACTAATTCCCTTCATGGCTGAACTTCCTTTATGATCTGATCACCTCCCAAAGGCCCCACCTCTTTATGTCATCACCTTGGAGATTAGGATTGCAACACATGAGTTTTGGAGGGACACAAAACATTCAGACCAGAGCAATGTATACATTGCAATATATAACAATATTGTATGTATGTATCTAAAATAGAATATCCAATGAGTGAAAGATAAGTATATTCTCATACATATGAATGTATATATGATTAGAATGGAGATGGCAGTTAGATGGATAAATGTGATGATAAGCAAGAGAAAGAGGGACATGGAGAGAATGAAAGAGACTTGGTCAGTAGTCGAATCCTTGTTCTCTGTTACAAAGGTGTCAGGCAACTTTCTAGGAAGACGGTCACATCTTACTGCTGCTAGGAATAAGCACACATCTGCGCAACCCAGAACCAAGCAGTTGAGAACGCACCACACTGTTGTTTGGAGGGGGTGCTTAATTTTAAAAGAGCCATGAAAAAAATTGGGGCCCTTAATTGTAGAATGGACAGAAAAAAAGCCAAATGAAAGCTCAAAATTGTCCCCCTCTTTCATATATTAAAATAGATTATTGTTCATTTAATATCGTCTTTGTTTCAAAGCATTCTAAAACTTATCAGATTAAATAATGAATAACATTTCCTCAGGAAAATAACTAAAAATATTTTATTTTCAGCTTTTTCTTTGCATAGTCATCACATTTTTTTTTCTAACTTCTAGCTTTTGTGAAATTTCTGTGACTAGTATCTAATTTGAATTATGTGTCAGATTTTATGTAGCAAAATATTTGATGACAAAATGAAAGTTTAGTGGTCTAGAATGCCTGTTTTATATTTTACATCCTCAGAATCAGATTTTTGTTGTTGTTGCTATTATCTGTGGAGTATCTATCACAGGAAATCTTTTTAGAATGATTCTTCATGATGATTCTAAGAGATTGGCGTAGGGAGGATGAGAGAGACCCACTAACAAGAGCAGTGAGTGAGAAGTAACACACAAATGGAGGTAAAAAACACAGAACTTTTTTTTTTTTTTTTGAGACAGAGTCTTGCTTTGTCGCCCAGGCTGGAGTGCAGTGGCACAATCTTGGCTCACTGCAGCCTCCGTCTCCCAGGTTCGAGCGATTCTCCTGCCTCAGCCTCCGAGTAGCTGGGACTACAGGCGTGTGCCATCACTCCCAGCTAATTTTTTGTATTTTTCATAGAGACAGGTTTTCATTGTGTTAGCTAGGATGATCTCGATCTCCTGACCTCATGATCCGCCCTCCTCGGCTTCCCAGAGTGCTGGGATTACAGGCGTGAGCTACTGTGCCCAGCCCACAGCGCATGTTTTAATGGTGCTCCGATTCAGAATGCAAAGTGGAAGTGAAGTGAATCTCAGGAAAAACGGAAGTTAGAAAAAGAAACCTATAAGAGCTTGCAAGACTTTAATAACTCAGAAGTAAAGAGAAAATTCGGAGTGGCTAAAGCCAGAGCATGGAAAACAAACAGACTGATTATTTGAGTTTTTTATGTTGTAAATGCAAAACAGATCTCCATTTTGCCAATAAGAATCACTAATCTTAGCTCTCACTGTTGGATATAATGAGCGAATATTAGTAAGAGTAAAGGTTCACTACTGTCTACTGGAAAGTTAAATAGCAACGTCATGTCTTCCCTAGGGGAAAGACACGTGTCTGTCATACAAATAATTTTTATAAGAGAACTGCTACCAAAATTTAGGGAAACACAACTAAAGAAGACTCAGCTTTGACCCATTTCTACCTCTAAAAGGCTTTGGATTAGATCTATATCTAAAAATCCATCTATTTGTTGGAATCATCTTCTTTTTCACTTTTCTTCTAATTATCAGGTTTTGTATGTCTTATTTCAGAACCAAACTATCTCCTTAATATATGACAATATGTGATGTTAATAAATGATCTCCTTAAACTGATTTAAGCTTTCTGCTCTTAATAGAAGGATTTTCACAGGTTAAAATGAGCTACAGCAAATACAAATACTACTCTGATATAGGAATCTGTAGTAAGAACAACCTAGAAAAGAATGATAGTTACTGATATATTGATGAGAAAAAAAAAAAGACGTCCAGGGACCAATTTGAAGCCAAACCTACTTTGACTAAAAACTGTATTTTTCAAAGAGTTAGTAAGAAAGCTTACATATTAACTAAAATTGCAAACAATATAACCGCATAGCTTGAATAAATAACATTAAATATTATTTTCATAAATGAATAGTGGTTTGGCAAAATTGTTTCTGTAAATCTAAAAGCTCAGTAAAAGGTATTTTGACCTTTAATCCAAAATAATAATAATAATAATAATAATAATTAATAATAATGTGGTCCTCTGCCATAACATTTTTAAAAGTTCAAATTCTCATTTACAGTTGTAACTTTTTTTTGGAAATTGGACTAGAAATTGAACAACTTGGGATTTCTATGTTCTAATACCAAAAAGGACCTAAAGCCAGTTTCTCAGTGCTTTTTATTGAAAAGGCACAGCAGCAATGGGCCAAACTATTAATTTTTAACTCCCTTTAAAAAATAATATTCTCCAATAAAAGTAACTGCATTCAATGTTATCGACATTTTTTTAAAAAAGGAGTGATATCCTATGGTAATATAAAATGTTTTCCTATAGTTGTAGTTTAGTTGATTATCTGGCAAACCATTTACTACTCTAGAAATCTGTAAGTAAATATTAATCCTATGTGAATATATATTTTATGTTACTCATCTCTGATACATAAGTTAGGGTTCTTGGCTGTCCTTAATACTTAATAGTGAACAGGATTATGATTATGATTCAGAACATATATTTTTTTAAATTGCCAGAATGGTTCACAAGTACATTTATTTTCTGAACCATACTAATGAAACCAATTCTTGCCTGTAGCCCATTTTATGGTAAAATCTTAACATGTGGTCTCAGATGTTGGCATATAACTATCTAAATCTGTATCACTTTGGCTTGCCAATTTATTTTGTCATTTTTCAACAGAAATTTTTGAAAGATGCTTACGATTTGTGTTTTTAACTTGATAATTTAAAGAAAACAAATTATGAAAATCTATCTCTGACACACGGAACCACAAACTTTTAGTGAATTAAAATCTTTAGGCTATTAGCAAAAGCCTAAAGGAAGAGGTTGGAAAAGATTAAATTTTTAATGATTTTTTTCAAGCACTGACTGTATTTTAGGCACTGTATTATATCTAAGAAAGTTTGATAAGTAAGATAGATGAAATTGCTGTCTTCACAGAACATGTAATTTATATTAAAAAAACAAATGTTGAAAAAATATTATAAATGTAATGAGAATTAATAACCTATACTGAAGTGACTAAAGTGGATATTAGAAAAACATGCAATTTTAGTAGATGGTTTTCCTTACCTGAGTATAGTTTTCTGCTATTATTTGAAAATCTTTTTCAAGGTAAAATGAACTATTACAATATACAGTTCCTACTCTGACCCTAAAGGGGGTAGCAAGGACACCTCAGACAATTATGACTTTCATGGATGTATCAATCAGAAAATATGGGAAAAGGTTAACAAGATGTTTATGTATTCCAAGGAATTTAAAAGAACAAAGTGTGAAAAAGAGAAGTGTTGGGTACATATGGCCAGGGAACTTTACCTGGCTAGTTTGGTGGTGGATGGTGTCCCTGAGTAAGTGATGCTGGAGTTGAGATTTGTAGGAAGAGGAAAATTTAGCCAGGTTAATACAGAAACGAGACTGTTCACAAAAGCAGAACCACGTATCAAAAGGCCTTGAAATAGGAATGAATGTGGTTGAAATTAAGCCAACACTAGTAAAGTGATCTTATACAGAGCAGACGAGTTTTTTTGTGAGAGTGTGCTACTGGCTCTTTGTGACTTTTTTTTTTTTTTTCCTTAATAGTGAGGTCATTGAAGTATTTTAAGCACCCTGGTCTCCTCTCAGTCACTTATTTCTCTATCTAGTTTGTATTTTACGGTGCATCATTTTGACCCAATTTCTTGTCAATATTTTCAACTCTTTGTGCCATTATTCTTCTGTTGTACACCCATGAAAAAAAAAATCTGATTCAGTTTAAATCTTTGCCTTTTTAGC